>NC_000016.10:35784622-36084622 GCF_000001405.40 Homo sapiens | reverse complement strand
GGCCTCAAAGTGCTCAAATATGCACTTGCAGATACTACAAAAAGAGTGTTTCAAAACTGCTATAACAAAGGAAAGGTTCAACTGTGTGAGCTTAATTCACACATCACAAAGAAGTTTCGGAGGATACTTTTGTCTAGTTTTCATATGAAGATTATGTCTTTTCCACCTTAGGCCTCAGAGCGCTCCAAGTATCCATTTGCAGATTCTACAAAAAGAGTGTTTCAAAACTGCTCTATGAAAAGAAAGGTCCAACACTGTGGGTTGAATGCACACATCACAAAGAAGTTTCGAAGAATGCTTCTGTCTAGTTTTCAAGTGAAGATATTTCCTTTTACATCATAGTCCTTAAAGCACAACAAATATCCTTTTGAAGACACTACAAAAAGAGTGTTTCAAAACTGCTGTTTCAAAAGAAAAATTCAACTCTATGAGTTGAATGCACACGTCACAAAGTAGTATCGGAGAATGCTTATGTCTAGTTTTAATGTGAAGATATTTCCTTTTCTTCCGTAGGCCTCAAAGGGCTCCAAATATCCACATGCAGATACTACAAAAAGAGTGTTTCAAACCTGCTCTATCAAAAGAAAGCTTCAACCCTGTGGGTTGAATGCACCCAACACGAAGTAGTTTCTCAGAATGCTTCTGTCTAGATTTTATGTTAAGGTATTTCGTTTTCCAACACAGCCTTCAAAAGGTACCAAATATGAACTTGCAGATTATACAAGAAGAGTGTTTCAAAACTGCTCTATCAACAGAAACTTTCAACTCTGTGAGTTGAATGCACAGATCACAAAAATGTTTCCGAGAATGTTTCTGTCTAGTTTTTATGTGAGGATATTTCCTTTTCCACCATAGGCCTCAAGGCGTTCCAAATATCCACTTGCAGATTCTACAAAAAGAGTGTTTCAAAACTGCTCTATCAAAAGAAGGTTCAACTCTGTGAGTTGAATGCACACATCACAAAGGAGTTTCTGAGAATGCTTCTGTCTGTTTATTATGTAAAGATATTTCGTTTTCCAACATATGCCTCAAAGGGAACCGCATATGCAACTACAGATCCTTCAGAAAGAGTATTTCAAATCTGCTCTATCAAAAAAAGTGTACATCTCTCTGAGTTGAATGCACACATCTCGAAGAAGTTTCTGAGACTGCTCCTGTTTAGTTTTTACGTGAAGATATTTCCTTTTCCACCACAGTCCTCAAAGCGGTCCACATATTCACTTGCAGATATTACCAAAATAGTGTTTGAAAACTGTTCTGTCAAAAGAAAGTTTCAACACTGTGAGTAGAATGCACAGGTCACTATGTAGTTTCAGAGAATGCTTCTTTCTAATTTTTACCTGAAGATATTTCTTTCTCCACCATAGGCCTCAAAGTGCTCCATATGTCCACTTGCAGATTTTAAAAAAAGGGAGTTTTCAAACTGCTCTATCAAAAGAAATGTTCAACACCGTGAGTTGATTTCACACATCACAAAGAAGTTTTGGGGAACGCTTCTGTCTACTTTTTATGTGAAGATATTTCCTTTTCACCATAGGCCTCAAAGCGCTCCAAATATCCAATTGCAGATTCTACAAAAAGAGTCCATCAGAACTGCTCTATCAATAGAAAGGTTCAGCTCAGTGAGTTAAATCCACGCATCACAAAGAAGTTTCAGAGAATGCTTCTGTCTACTTTTTATGTGAAGATATTTCCTTTTCCGCTATAGGCCTCCAAGCGCTCCATATATCCAATTGCAAATTCTACAAAAAATGTGTTTCAAAACTGCTCTACCAAAAGAATGCTTCAAATCTGTGAGTTGAATGCACACATCACAAAGAAGTTTCTGAGAATGCTTCTTTCTACTTTTTTTGCAAAGATATTTTGTTTTCCATCATTGGTCTCAAAGAGCTCTAATTATTCACTTGCAGATTCTGCAAAAAGAGTGTTTCAAAACTACTCTATCAAAAGAAAGCTTCAACTTTCTGAGTTGAAACCCCTCACCACAAAGAAGTTTCTGAGAATGTTTCTGTCTAGTTTTTATGTGAAGATATTTCGTTTTCCAACATAGACCTCAAAGGGAACAACATATCCACTGGCAGATTCTACAAAAAGAGTGTTTCAATACTGCTCTATCAAAAGAAGGGTACAACTGTGTGAGTTGAATGCACACTTCACAAAGAAGTTTCTGAGAATGCTCCTGTCCAGTTTTTACCTGAAGATACTTCCTTTTCCACCATAGGCCACAAATGGCCCCATATATCCACTTGCAGATATTATAATAGAGGGTGTCAAAACTGCTCTATCAAAAGAAAGTTTCAACCCTGTGAGTGGAAAGCACACATCACAAAGAAGTTTATGAGAATGCTTCTATCTAGTATTTATGTGAAGATATTTTGTTTTCCAACAGAGGCCTCAATGGGAACGAAATATCCACTTGCAGATTCTACAAAAAGAGTGTTTCAAAACTGCTCTATCAGAAGAAATGTTCAATTTTGTGAGCTGAATGCACAGATCACAAAGAAATTTCTGAGAATGCCTCTGTCTAGCTTTTATGTCAAGATATTTCCTTTTCCACCACAGGGCTGAAAGGGCTCCAAATATCCACTTGCAGATTTTACAAAAAGTGTGTTTCAAAACTGCTCTATCAAAAGAAAAGTTCAACTCTGTGAGTTGAATGCACACATAATAAAGAAGTTTCTGAGAATGCTTCTGTCCAGTTTTTATGTGAACATATTTTGTTTTCCAACATAGGCTTCAAAGGGAAGAAAATATCCACTTGCAGATTCTACAAAAAGAGTATTTCAAAACTACTCTATCAAAAGAAAAGTTCAACTCTGTGAATTGAATGCACACATCACAAAGAAGTTTCAGAGAATGCTTCTGTCTATTTTTTTATGTCAAGATATTTCCTTTTCCACCATAGGCCTCACAGTGAACAAAATAACCACTTGTAGATTCTACAAAAAGAGTGTTTCAATACTGCTCTATCAAAAAAAAAAAAAATTCAACTCTGTGAGTTGAATGCACACACCACAAAGAAGTTTCTGAGAATGCTTCTGTCTAGTTTTATGTGAAGATATTTTGCTTTACAACAAGGCCTCCAAGGGAACCAAATATCAACTTACAGATCCAGAAAAAACAGTGTTTCAAAACTCCTCTATCAAAAGAAAGGTTCAATTCTGTGAGTTTCATGCACACATCAAAAAGAAGTTTCTGAGAATGCTTCTCCGTAATTTTTATGTTAAGTTATTTCCTTTCCCACCGTAGGCCTCAAAGCGCTCCAAAGATACACTTGCAGAGCTATAATACGAGTGTTTCAAAACAGGTCTATCAAAAGGAAGTTTCAAATCTGTGAGTTGAATGCACACATCACAAATAACTTTCTGAGAACGCTTCTGTCTAGTTTTATATGAAGATATTTTCTTTTCCACCATAGGCATCAAAGTCCACCATAGGCTCCAAATGTCCACATGCAGAATCTACAAGAGAGTTTTTGAAAACTGCTCTATCAAAGAAAGGTTCAACTCTGTGAGTTGAATGAAAACAGCACAACGAAGTTTCTGAGAAAGATTCTGTCTAGTTTTTATGTGAAAATATTTCATTTTCCAACATAGACCTCAAAGGGAACTAAATATCCACTTGCCGATTCTACAAAAATAGTGTTTCAAATCTGTTCTATCAAAAGAAAGGTTCAACTCTGGGAGTTGAATGCACACATCACAAGAAGTTTCTGAGAATGCTTCCGTCTAATTTTTATGTGAAGATATTTCCTTTTCCAACACAGGTCACAAAGGGAACCAAATATCCAATTGCAGGTCCTACAAAAAGAGTTTTTCAAAACTGCTCTATCAAAAGAATGCTCCAACTCTGTGAGTTGAATGCACACATCACAAAGTAGTTTCGGAGAATGCTTCTGTCTATTTTTTATGTGCAGATATTTCCTTTTCCAACAATCGCCTCAAAGCACTCCAAATATCCGTTTGCAGATTCTACAAAAAGAGTTTTTCAAAACTGCTCTGTCAAAAGAAAGGTTCAACTCTATGAGACGAATGCACACATCACAAAGGAGTTTCTGAGAATGCTTCTGTCTAGTTTTTATGTGAAGATATTTCATTTTCCACCATAGTCCTCAAAGGGATACAAATATCTACTTGCAGATTCTACAAAAAGAGTGTTTCAAAACTGCTCTTTCAAAAGAATGATCAACTCGGTAAGTTGAATGCAAACATCACAAAGAAGTTTGCGAGAGTGCTTCTGTGTAGTTTTAATGTTTAGTTATTTCCTTTTCCACCATAGGCCTCAAAGCACTGCAAATGTCCACTTGCAGATTCTACAAAAACAGTTTTTCAAAACTGCTCTACCAAAAGAGACGTTCAAGTCTGTGAGTTGAATGTACATATCACAAAGAATTTTCTGAGAATGCTTCCATCTAGTTTTAAAATGAATATATTTCCTTTTCCACCATAGGCCTCAAAGAGCTTCAAATATCCATTTGCAGATTGTACAAAAAACGTGTTTCATAATTGCTCTAACGAAGAAAATTTCAACTCTTTGAGTTGAATGCACACTTCACAAAGAAGTTTCTGAGAATGCTTCTGTCTAGTTTTTATGTGAAGATGTTTCCTTTTCCACCATATTCCTGAAAGGGTTCCAAATATCCACGTGCAGATTCTACAAAAAGAGTATTTCAAAACTGCTCTTTCAAAAAAATGTTTCAACTCTGTGAGTTGAATGCACACATCACAAAGAAGATTCTGAGAATCCTTCAGTCTAGATTTTATTTAAACATATTTCCTTATCCACCATAGGCCTCAAAATGCTCCAAATATCCACTTGCAGATTCTACAAAAAGAGTGTTTCAAGACTGCTCTATCAAAAGAAAGGTTCAACTCTCAGTTGAATGCACACATCACAAAGAAGTATCTGAGAATTCTTCTGTCTAGTTTTTATGTCAATATATTTCCTTTTCCACCATAGTTCTCAAAGCCCTCCCAATATCCACGTGCAGATTCTCCAAAAAGAATGTTTCAACACTGCTCCATCAAAAGAAAGTTTCAACTCTGTGAGTTCAATGCACACATTACGAAGCAGATTCTGAGAATGCTTCCATGTACTTTTTATTTGAAGATATTTCCTTTTTCACCGTAGAGTGCAAAGGGATCCAAATATCCACTTGCAGATTCTACAAAATCAGAGATTCTAAACTATTCAACCAAAAGATAGGTGCAACTCTGTGAGATGAATGCGCACATCACAAAGTAATTTCTCAGAATGCTTCTGAGTAGTTTTGATGTGAAGATATTTCCTTTTCCACAATAGGCCACAAAGGGCTACAATAATGCCTCTGCAGATTCTACAAAAATAGTGTCTCAAAACTACTCATTCAAAAGAAAATTTAAACTCTGTGTGACGAATGTACAAATGGCAAAGTAGTTTCTCAGAATGCTTCTGAGTAGTTTTTACGTGAAGATATCTCCTTTTCCACAATAGGCCTCACAGATCTTCAAACATCCACTTGTAGATTCTGCAAAAAGAGAGATTCAAAATTGCTCAATCAAAACACAGGTTCAACACTGTGAGGTGAATGCACACATCAATAAGAAGTTTCTGAGAATGCTTCTGTGTAGTTTTTATTTGAAGATATCTCCTTTTCCACCATAGGGTGCAAAATGCTCGAAATATCCAATTGCAGATTCTACAAAAAGAGTGTTTCAAAACTGCTCAATCATAAGATATGTTTAACCTTGTGAGAAGAATGCACACATCACAAAGGAGTTTCTCAGAATGTTTCTGTGTAGTTTATATTTGAAGACATTTCCTTTTCCACTATAGGCCGCAAAGGGCTCCAAATATCCACTTGCAGATTCTGCAGAAAGAGAGATTCCAAACTGCTCAATCAAAAGACATATTCAACTCTGTGAGTTGAAAGCACCCATTCCAACGAAATTTCTCAGAATGCTTCTGTGTAGTTTTTATGTGAAGATATTTGCTTTTCCACAGTAGGCCTCAAAGGGCTACAAATACACAAATGCAGATTCTGCAAAAGTGAGATTCAAAACTGCTCAATCAAAAGATAGGTTCAACTCTGTGAGTGGAACGCATACATCGCAAAGAAGTTTCTCTGAATGCATCTGTGTAGTTTTTATTTAAAGGTATTTCGCTTTTCTCATAGGGTGCAAAGCTCTCCAAATATCCACTTGCAGATACTACAAAAAGAGAGATTCAAAACTACTCAATGAGAAGATAAGTTCAAGCCGTTGAGTTGAATGCACACCTCAAAAAGAAGTTTCTCAGAATGATTCTGTGTAGTTTTTATGTGAAGATATTTCTTTTTCCACATAGGACTCAAAGCACTCCAAATATCGACTTGCAGATTCTACAAAAAGAATGATTCAGAACTGCTAAATAAAAGAAACATTCAACTCTGTGAGATTAATGCACACATCACAAAGCAGTTTCTCAGAATGCTTCTGTGTAGTTTTTATGTGAAGATATGGGCTTTTCCACAGTAGGCCTCAAGGGGCTCCAAATATCCAACTGCAGATTCACAAAAAGAGAGATTCAAAACTGCTCAATCAAAAGATAGGTTCAACTCTGTAAGTTGAATGCACACTTCACAGTTAAGTTTCTCATAATATTTATGTGCAGTGTCTTTTTTTCTTTTTTTTCTTTCTTTTCTTTTTTTTTCTATTTTTTTTTATTATACTTTAAGTTTTAGAGTACATGTGCACATTGTGCAGGTTAGTTACATATGTATACATGTGCCATGCTGGTGCGCTGCACCCACTAACTCGTCATCTAGCATTAGGTATATCTCCCAATGCTATCCCTCCCCCCTCCCCCCACCCCACAACAGTCCCCAGAGTGTGATATTCCCCTTCCTGTGACCATGTGATCTCATTGTTCAATTCCCACCTATGAGTGAGAATATGCGGTGTTTGGTTTTTCATTCTTGCGATAGTTTACTGAGAATGATGATTTCCAATTTCATCCATGTCCCTACAAGGGACATGAACTCATCATTTTTTATGGCTGCATAGTATTCCATGGTGTATATGTGCCACATTTTCTTAATCCACTCTATCATTGTTGGACATTTGGGTTGGTTCCAAGTCTTTGCTATTGTGAATAATGCTGCAATAAACATACATTTGCATGTGTCTTTATAGCAACATGATTTATAGTCCTTTGGGTATATACCCAGTAAGGGGATGGCTGGGTCAAATGGTATTTCTAGTTCTAAATCCCTGAGGAATCGCCACACTGACTTCCACAATGGTTGAACTAGTTTACAGTCCCACCAACAGTGTAAAAGTGTTCCTATTTCTCCACATCCTCTCCAGCACCTGTTGTTTCCTGACTTTTTAATGATTGCCATTCTAACTGGTGTGAGATGGTATCTCATTGTGGTTTTGATTTGCATTTCTCTGATGGCCAGTGATGATGAGCATTGTTTCATGTGTTTTTTGGCTGCATAAATGTCTTCTTTTGAGAAGTGTCTCTTCATGTCCTTCGCCCACTTTTTGATGGGGTTGTTTGTTTTTTTCTTGTAAATTTGTTTGAGTTCATTGTAGATTCTGGATATTAGCCCTTTGTCAGATGAGTAGGTTGCGAAAATTTTCTCCCATTTTGTAAGTTGCCTGTTCACTCTGATAGTAGTTTCTTTTGCTGTGCAGAAGCTCTTTAGTTTAATTAGATCCCATTTGTCAATTTTGGCTTTCATTGCCATTGCTTTTGGTGTTTTGGACATGAAGTCCTTGCCCATGCCTATGTCCTGAATGGTAATGCCTAGGTTTTCTTCTAGGGTTTTTATGGTTTTAGGTCTAACATTTAAATCTTTAATCCATCTTGAATTGATTTTTGTATAAGGTGTAAGGAAAGGATCCAGTTTCAGCTTCCTACATATGGCTAGCCAGTTTTCCCAGCACCATTTATTAAATACGGAATCCTTTCCCCATTGCTTGTTTTTCTCAGTTTTGTCAAAGATGAGATAGTTATAGATATGCGGCGTTATTTCTGAGGGCTCTGTTCTGTTCCATTGATCTATATCTCTGTTTTGGTACCAGTACCATGCTGTTTTGGTTACTGTAGCCTTGTAGTATAGTTTGAAGTCAGGTAGTGTGATGCCTCCAGCTTTGTTCTTTAGGCTTAGGATTGACTTGGTGATGCGGGCTCTTTTTTGGTTCCATATGAACTTTAAAGTAGTTTTTTCCAATTCTGTGAAGAAAGGCGTTGGTAGCTTTATGGGGATGGCATTGAATCTGTAAATTACCTTGGGCAGTATGGCCATTTTCACGATATTGATTCTTCCTACCCATGAGCATGGAATGTTCTTCCATTTGTTTGTATCCTCTTTTATTTCCTTGAGCAGTGGTTTGTAGTTCTCCTTGAAGAGGTCCTTCACATCCCTTGTAAGTTGGATTCCTAGGTATTTTATTCTCTTTGAAGCAATTGTGAATGGGAGTTCACTCATGATTTGGCTCTTTGTTTGTCTGTTGTTGGTGTATAAGAATGCTTGTGATTTTTGTACATTTATTTTGTATCCTGAGACTTTGCTGAAGTTGCTTATCAGCTTAAAGAGATTTTGGGCTGAGACAATGGGGTTTTCTAGATAAACAATCATGTCGTCTGCAAACAGGGACAATTTTGACTTCCTCTTTTCCTAATTGAATACCCTTTATTTTCTTCTCCTGCCTAATTGCCCTGGCCAGAATTTCCAACAGTATGTTGAATAGGATTGGTGAGAGAGGGCATCCCTGTCTTGTGCCAGTTTTCAAAGGGAATGCTTCCAGTTTTTGCCCATTCAGTATGATATTGGCTGTGGGTTTGTCATAGATAGCTCTTATTATTTTGAAATACGTCCCATCAATACCTAATTTATTGAGAGTTTTTAGCATGAAGCGTTGTTGAATTTTGTCAAAGGCTTTTTCTGCATCTATTGAGATAATCATGTGGTTTTTGTCTTTGGCTCTGTTTATATGCTGGATTACATTTATTGATTTGCGTATATTGAACCAGCCTTGCATCCCAGGGATGAAGCCCACTTGATCATGGTGGATAAGCTTTTCGATGTGCTGCTGGATTCGGTTTGCCAGTATTTTATTGAGGATTTTTGCATCAATGTTCATCAAGGATATTGGTCTAAAATTCTCTTTTTTGGTTGTGTCTCTGCCCGGCTTTGGTATCAGAATGATGCTGGCCTCATAAAATGAGTTAGGGAGGATTCCCTCTTTTTCTATTCATTGGAATAGTTTCAGAAGGAATGGTACCAGTTCCTCCTTGTACCTCTGGTAGAATTCAGCTGTGAATCCATCTGGTCCTGGACTCTTTTTGGTTGGTAAACTATTGATTATTGCCACAATTTCAGATCCTGTTATTGGTCTATTCAGAGATTCAACTTCTTCCTCGTTTAGTCTTGGGAGAGTGTATGTGTTGAGGAATTTATCCATTTCTTCTAGATTTTCTAGTTTATTTGCATAGAGGTGTTTGTAGTATTCTCTGATGGTAGTTTGTATTTCTGTAGGATCAGTGGTGATATCCCCTTTATCATTTTTTATTGTGTCTATTTGATTCTTCTCTCTTTTTTTTCTTTATTGGTCTTGATAGTGGTCTATCAATTTTGTTGATCATTTCAAAAAACGAGCTCCTGGATTCACTGGTTATTTGAAGGTTTTTTTGTGTCTCTATTTCCTTCAGTTCTGCTCTGATTTTAGTTATTTCTTGCCTTCTGCTAGCTTTTGAATGTGTTTGCTCTTGCTTTTCTAGTTCTTTTAATTGTGATGTTAGGGTGTCAATTTTGGATCTTTCCTGCTTTCCCTTGTGGGCATTTAGTGCTATAAATTTCCCTCTACACACTGCTTTGAATGCATCCCAGAGATTCTGGTATGTTGTGTCTTTGTTCTCATTGGTTTCAAAGAACATCTTTATTTCTGCCTTCATTTCGTTATGTACCCAGTAGTCATTCAGGAGCAGGTTGTTCAGTTTCCATGTAGTTGAGCGGCTTTGAGTGAGATTCTTAATCCTGAGTTCTAGTTTGATTGCACTGTGGTCTGAGAGATAGTTTGTTGTAATTTCTGTTGTTTTACATTTGCTGAGGAGAGCTTTACTTCCAAGTATGTGGTCAATTTTGGAATAGGTGTGGTGTGGTGCTGAAAAAAATGTATATTCTGTTGATTTGGGGTGGAGAGTTCTGTAGATGTCTATTAGGTCCACTTGGTGCAGAGCTGAGTTCAATTCCTGAGTATCCTTGTTGACTTTCTGTCTCGTTGATCTGTCTAATGTTTACAGTGAGGTGTTAAAGTCTCCCATTATTAATGTGTGGGAGTCTAAGTCTCTTTGTAGGTCACTCAGGACTTGCTTTATGAATCTGGGTGCTCCTGTATTGGGTGCATATATATTTAGGATAGTTAGCTCTTCTTGTTGAATTGATCCCTTTACCATTATGTAATGGCCTTCTTTGTCTCTTTTGATCTTTGTTGGTTTAAAGTCTGTTTTATCAGAGACTAGGATTGCAACACCTGCCTTTTTTTGTTTTCCATTTGCTTGGTAGATCTTCCTCCATCCTTTTATTTTGAGTCTATGTGTGTCTCTGCACGTGAGATGGGTTTCCTGAATACAGCACACTGATGGGTCTTGACTCTTTATCCAATTTGCCAATCTGTGTCTTTTAATTGGAGAATTTAGTCCATTTACATTTAAAGTTAATATTGTTATGTGTGAATTTGATCCTGTCATTATGATGTTAGCTGGTGATTTTGCTCATTAGTTGATGCAGTTTCTTCCTAGTCTCGATGGTCTTTACATTTTGGCATGATTTTGCAGCAGCGGGTACCGGTTGTTCCTTTCCATGTTTAGCACTTCCTTCAGGAGCTCTTTTAAGGCAGGCCTGGTGGTGACAAAATCTCTCAGCATTTGCTTGTCTGTGAAGTATTTTATTTCTCCTTCACTTATGAAGCTTAGTTTTGCTGGATATGAAATTCTGGGTTGAAAATTCTTTTCTTTAAGAATGTTGAATATTGGCCCCCACTCTCTTCTGGCTTGTAGGGTTTCTGCCGAGAGATCAGCTGTTAGTCTGATGGGCTTCCCTTTGAGGGTAACCCGACCTTTCTCTCTGGCTGCCCTTAACATTTTTTCCTTCATTTCAACTTTGGTGAATCTGACAATTATGTGTCTTGGAGTTGCTCTTCTCGAGGAGTATCTTTGTGGCGTTCTCTGTATTTCCTGAATCTGAACGTTGGCCTGCCTTGCTAGATTTGGGAAGTTCTCCTTGATAATATCCTGCAGAGTGTTTTCCAACTTGGTTCCATTCTCCCCATCACTTTCAGGTACACCAATCAGACGTAGATTTGGTCTTTTCACATAGTCCCACATTTCTTGGAGGCTTTGCTCATTTCTTTTTATTCTTTTTTCTCTAAACTTCCCTTCTCGCTTCATTTCATTCATTTCATCTTCCATTGCTGATACCCTTTCTTCCAGTTGATTGCATCGGCTCCTGAGGCTTCTGCATTCTTCACGTAGTTCTTGAGCCTTGGTTTTCAGCTCCATCAGCTCCTTTAAGCACTTCTCTGTATTGGTTATTCTAGTTATACATTCTTCTAAATTTTTTTCAAAGTTTTCAACTTCTTTGCCTTTGGTTTGAATGTCCTCCCGTAGCTCAGAGTAATTTGATCGTCTGAAGCCTTCTTCTCTCAGCTCGTCAAAGTCATTCTCCATCCAGCTTTGTTCCATTGCTGGTGAGGAACTGCTTTCCTTTGGAGGAGGAGAGGCGCTTTGCGTTTTAGAGTTTCCAGTTTTTCTGTTCTGTTTTCTCCCCATCTTTGTGGTTTTATCTATTTTTGGTCTTTGATGATGGTGATGTACAGATGGGTTTTCAGTGTGGATGTCCTTTCTGTTTGTTAGTATTCCTTCTAACAGACAGGACCCTCAGCTGCAGGTCTGTTGGAATACCCTGCCCTGTGAGGTGTCAGTGTGCCCCTGCTGGGGGGTGCCTCCCAGTTAGGCTGCTTGGGGATCAGGGGTCAGGGACCCACTTGAGGAGGCAGTCTGCCGGTTCTCAGATCTCCAGCTGTGTGCTGGGAGAACCACTGCTCTCTTCAAAGCTGTCAGACAGGGACACTTAAGTCTGCAGAGGTTACTGCTGTCTTTTTGTTTGTCTGTGCCCTGCCCCCAGAGGTGGAGCCTACAGAGGCAGGCAGGCCTCCTTGAGCTGTGGTGGGCTCCACCCAGTTCGAGTTCCTGGCTGCTTTGTTTACCTAAGCAAGCCTGGGCAATGGCGGGCGCCCCTCCCCCAGCCTCGCTGCCGCCTTGCAGTTTGATCTCAGACTGCTGTGCTAGCAATCAGTGAGATTCCGTGGGTGTAGGACCCTTCGAGCCAGGTGTGGGATATAATCTCGTGGTTCGCCGTTTTTAAGCCGGTCTGAAAAGCGCAATATTTGGGTGGGAGTGACCCGATTTTCCAGGTGCATCCGTCACCCCTTTCTTTGACTAGGAAAGGGAACTCCCTGACCCCTTGTGCTTCCCAAGTGAGTCAATGCCTCACCCTGCTTCAGCTTGTGCACGGTGCATGCACCCACTGGCCTGCACTCACTGTCTGGCACTCCCTAGTGAGATAAACCCGGTACCTCAGATGGAAATGCAGAAATCGCCCGTCTTCTGTGTTGCTCACGCTGGGAGCTGTACACCGGAGCTGTTCCTATTCGGCCATCTTGACTCCTCCCTCTCTGTGTAGTCTTTATGTGAAAATAATCCTTTTTCCACAATAGGCCTCAAAAGGCTCAAAATATCCACTTGCAGCTTCTTCAAAAAGAGTGTTTCAAAACTGCTAAATCATAAGAAAGGTTCAACACTGTGAGATGAATGCACACATCACAAAGAAATTTCTCAAAATGCTTCTGTGTAGTTTTCATCTTAAGCTATCTGCTTTTCCATAACAGGCCTCAAAGCGCTCCAAATCTCCAATTGCAGATTTTACAAAAAGAGTGTTTCAAAACTGCTCAATCATAAGATAGGTTCAAGCCTATGAGATGAATGCACATCTCACAAAGAAGATTCTCAGAATGTTTCTGTGTGGTTTTTATTTGAAGATATTTTCTTTTCCAGGATTGGCCACAAAGGGCTCCAAATATCCACGTGCAGATTATGCAAAAAGAGAGATTGAAAACTGCTCAATCAAAAGATAGGTACAACTCTGTAAGTTGAAAGCACACATCCCAAAGAAGTTTCTCAGAAAGCTTCTGTGTAGTTTTTATGTGAAGATAGTTGCTTTTCCACAGTAGCCCTCAAAGGGCTCCAATCATCCACATGCAGATTCTGCAAAAAGAGATATTCAAAACTGCTCACTCAAAAGATAGGTTCAACACTGTGAGTTGAATGCCCACATCACAAAGAAGTTTCTGATAATGCTTCTGAGTAGTTTTTATATGAAGATATTTCCATTTCTACAATAGGCGTCAAAGGGTTCTAATTATCCACTTCCCGAATCTACAAAAACGGGGTTTCAAAACTGCTCAATCAAAAGAAAGCTTCAAATCTGTGAGTTGAATGTGCAGTTTTGAAACAATCTTTTTCTAGAATCTGCAAGTGGATACTTAGAGCGCTTTGAGGCCTAAGAATACACACATCAGAAAGAAGTTTCTGAGAAGGTTTCTGTCTTGATTTTTTGTGAAGATATTTCGTTTTCCACCATAGGCCTCAAAGCGTTCCAAATATCCACATTCAGATTCTAAAAAAAGAGTGTTTCAAAACTGCTCTATCAAAAGAAAGGTTCAACTCTGTGAGTTGAATGCACACATCACAAAGAAGTTTCTGAGAATGCTTCTGTCTAGATTTTATGTGAAGATATTTCATTTTCCAACATAAGCCTCCAAAGAAACCAAATATGAACTTGCAGATTATAGAAAAAGAGAGATTCAAAACTGCTCAATCAAAAGATAGGTTCAACTCTGTGAGTTGAATACTCACATCACAAAGAAGTTTCGGAGAATGCTTCTGTCTAGTTTTTATGTGAAGATAGATCCTTTTCCATCATAGGCCTCAAAGGGAACAAAATATCCACTTGCAGATTCTACAGAAAGTGTGTTTCAAAACTGCTCTATCAAAAGATAAGTTCATTACTTTAGTTGAATGCACATATCACCAAAAAGTTTCTGAGAATGCTTCTGCCTAGTTTTTAAGTCAACATATTTCCTTTTCCACCATAGGCTTCAAAGCCCTCCATATATCCACTTGGAGATTCTACAAAAAGAGTGTACCAAAACTTTTATCAAAAGAAAGGTTCAACTCTGTGAGTTGAATGCACACATCATAAAGAAGTTTCTGAGAATGCTTTTGTCTAGTTTTTATGTGAAGATATTTCCTTTACCACCGCACGCTCCAAAGCGCTCCAAATATCCACTTGAAGATTCTACAGAAAGAGCTTTTTGAAACTGCTCTATCAAAAGAAAGTTTCAACTCTGTGAGTTGAATACACACATCAGAAAGAAGTTTCTGCGAATGTTTCTGTCTAGTTTTTATTTGAAAATATTTCGTTTTCCAACATAGACATCAACGGAAAGAAAATATCCACATGCAGATTCTATAAAAATAGTGTTTGAAAACTGCTCTATCAAAAGGAAGGTTCAACTCTGTCAGTTGAATGCACACATCACAAAGAAGTTTCTGAGAATGCTTCTGTCTAGTTTTTATGTGAAGATATTTCCTTTTCCAACCTAGGCCTAAAAGCGCTCCAAATATCCACTTGCAGATTTTACAAAAAGAGTTTTTCCAAACTACTCTATCAAAAGAAAGGTTCAACTCTGTGAGTTGAATGCACACATCACTAAGAAGTTTCAGAGAATGCTTATGTCTAGTTTTTATGTCCATATTTCCTTTTCCACCATAGGCATCAAAGCGCTTCTAATATCCACTTGCAGATTCTACAAATGATTGTTTCACAACTGCTCATCAGAGAAAGTTTCAACTCTGTGACTTGAATTCACACATCACAAAGAACTTTCTTAGAATGCTTCTGTCTACTTTTTATGTGAACATATTTCCTTTTAGACCATAGGCCTCCAAGCCCTCGAAATATCCACTCACAGATTCTACAAAAAAAGTGTTTCAAACTGTTGTATCAAAAGAAAGTTTCAAATCTGTTAGTAGAATGCACAAATCACAAAGAAGTTTCTGATAATGCTTCTGTCTAGTTTTTATGTGAAGATATTTCCTTTTCTACCTTAGGCCTCAAAGAGCTCCGAACATCCAATTGCAGATTCTACAATAAGAGTGTTTCAAAACGGCTTTATTAAAAAAAAGTTCAACTCTGGGCGTTGAATGCACACATCAAAAAGAAGTTTCTGAGAATGCTTCTGTCTAGTTTTTATGTGGAGATATTTCCTTTTCCACCAGAGGCCTCAAAGCACTTCAAATATCCACTTGCAGATTCTACAAATAGTGTTTCAAAACTACTGTATCAAAAGAAAGCTTCAACCCTGTGAGTTGAATGCACACATCACAAAGAAATTTCTGAGAATGCTTCTGTCTCTTGTTTATGAGAAGATGTTTCCTTTTCCACTATAGGCATCAAAGCACTTCAAATATACCCTAGCAGATTCTAAAAAAAGAGTGTTTCGATACTGATGTATCAAACAAAGTTTCAACTCTGAGAGTTGAATGCAAACATCACAAAGAAGATTCTGATAATGCTCCTGTCTAATTTCTATGTGAAGTTATTTGGTTTTCCAACACAGGCCTCAAATGGAAGCAAATATCCACATACAGATTCTACAAAACCAGTTTTTGAAAACTGCTCTATCAAAAGAAATGTTCAAATCTGTGAGTTGAATGCACACATCACAAAGATGTTTCTTATAATGTTTCTGTCTCGTTTTTATGTAAAGATATTTCCTTTTCCACAATAGGCCTCTAAGGGAACCAAATATTCACTTGCAGATTCTACAAAAAGAGTATTTCAAAACTGCTCCATCAAAAGAAAGTTTCAACTCTGTGTGTTCAATGTACACATCACAAAGAAGTTTCTGAGAATGCTTCTGTCTAGTTTTTTTTAAAGATATTTCCTTTTCCACCATAGTCCTCAACACCTCCAAATATCCACTTGCAGCTTCTATAAAAAGATAGTTTCAAAACTTCTCTATCAAAAGAAAGGTTTACTTCTGTGAGTTGAATGCACACATCACAAAGTAGTTTCTGAGAATGCTTCTGTCCAGTTTTTCTGTGAAGATATTTCCTTTCCCACCGTAGGCCTCAATGGGAACAAATATCCACTTGCAGATTCCAAAAAAAAAAAGTGTTTCAAAACTGCTCTATCAAAAGAAATGTTCAACTCTACGATTTGAATGCCCACATTAGAGAGAGATTTCTGAGAATGCTTCTGTCTAGTGATTGTGTGAAGATATTTTGATTTCCACCATAGTCCTCAAAGCACTACAAATGTCCACTTGCAGATTCTACAAGGAGAGTGTTTCAAAACTGCTCTATCAAAAGAAGGGTTCAACTCTGTGAGTTGAATGCACACATCACAAAGAAGTTTCTGAGAATGCTTCTGTCCAGATTTTATGTGAAGATATTTCCTTTTCCACCAGAGGCCACAAAGCGCCCCAAATATCCACTTGCAGATTCCACAAAAAGAGTGTTTCAAAACTGCTCTATCAAAAGATAGTTTCAACTCTCAGTTGAATGCACACATCACAAAGAAGTTTCTGAGAATGCTTCTGTCTAGATTTTATGTGAAGATATTTCCTTTTCCACCAGAGGCCCCAAAGCGCCCCAAATATCCACTTGCAGATTCCACAAAAAGAGTGTTTCAAAACTGCTCTATCAAAAGATAGTTTCAACTCTCAGTTGAATGCACACATCACAAAGAAGTTTATGAGAATTCTTCTGTCTAGTTTTTATGTGAATATATTCTCATTTCCACCGAAGGCCTGAAAGCAATGCATATATCCACTTGCAGATACTACAAAAAGAGTTTTTCAAAACTGCTGTATCCAAAGGAATGTTCAACTCTGTGAGTTGAATGCAGACATCACAAAGATGTTTTTGTGAATGCTTCTGTCTAGTTTTTATGTGAAGATATTCCCGTTTCCAACAAAAGCCTCAAAGTGCTCCATGTATCCACTTGCAGATTTTACAAAAAGAGTGTTTGAAAACTACTCTATCAAAAGGAATGTTCAACTCTGTGAGTTGAATGCACACATTACAAAGCAGTTTCTGAGAATGCTTCTGTCTCGTTTTTAATCTGAAGTTATTCCCGTTTCCAACGAAGTCCGCAAAATGGTCCGAATATCCACTTGCAGATTTTACAAAAAGACTGTTTCAAAACTACAGTATCAAAAGGCAGGTTCAACTCTGTGAGTTGAATGGACACATCACAATGAAGTTTCTGAGAATGCTTCTGTCTTCTTTTTATGTGAAGATATTCCCATTTGCAAAGAAAGTCTCAAAGCTGCCCAAATATACCCTTGCAGACACTACAAAAAGAGTGTTTCAAAACTGCTCTGTGAAAAGTTATGTTCAAATCTGTGAGTTGAATGCAAACATCACAAAGTAGTTTCTGCGAATGCTTCTGTCTACTTTTTATGTGAACATATTTCCTTTTCCACCATAGGCGTTTAAGCCCTACGTATATCCACTTGCAGACTCTACAAAAAGATTGTTTTAAAACTGCTGTATCAAAAGAAAGTTTCAACTCTCTGAGTTGAATGCACACATCACAAAGAAGTTTCTGAGAACGTTTCTGTCTAGTTTTTATGTGAATATATGTCCTTTACACCATAGGCCTCAAAGCGGTCTAAATATCCACTTGCAGATACTATAAAAACAGTGCTTCAAAACTGCTCTATAAAAGGAAAGGTTCAACTCTGTGAGTTGAATGCACGCATCAAAAAGAAGTTTCTGAGAATGTTTTAGTTAAGTTTTTATGGGAAGTAATTTCCGTTTCCACAGTAGGCCTCAAAGCACTCCAGATATCAACATGCAGATTCTACAAAAAGAATGTTTCCAAACAGCTCTATCAAAATAAAGGTTCAACTCTGTGTGTTGAATGCACACATCACAAGGAACTTTCTGATAATGCTTCTGTCTAGCTTTTATGTGAATATATTTCGTTTTCCAACATAGGCCTCAAGAGGTACCAAATATCAACTCACAGATTATAAGAAAAGAGTTCTTCAAAATTGCTCTATCAAAAGAAACTTTCAACTCTGTGTTTTGAATGCACATATTACAAAGAAGTTTTGGAGAAAGCTTCTCTCTAGTTTTTATGTGAAAATAGTTTATTTTACATTATAGGCCTCAAAGGGAACAAAATATCCACTTGCAGATTCTACAAAATGTGTGTTTCAAAACTGCTCTATCAAAAGATAGGTTCATCTCTGTGAGTTGAATGCACACATCCCAAAGAAGTTTCTCAGAATGCTTCTTTGTAGTTTTTATGTGAACATATTCGATTGCCCACAGTAGGACTAACTGCGCTCCAAATATCCACTTGCAAATTCTACAAAAAGAGTGTCTCAAA
Source organism: Homo sapiens (assembly GCF_000001405.40). Taxonomy (NCBI): domain Eukaryota; kingdom Metazoa; phylum Chordata; class Mammalia; order Primates; family Hominidae; genus Homo; species Homo sapiens. The sequence continues at coordinate 36,066,129 of NC_000016.10, read as the reverse complement.
AGTGCTCAATCAAAAGAAAGTTTCAAATTTGTGAGATGAATGCACACATCACAAAGAAGTTTCTCAGAATGCTTCTGTGTAATTTTTGTCTGAAGATATTGCTTTTCCAACATATGCCTCAAAGGGCTCCAAATATCCAACCGCAGATTCTACAAAAAGAGAGATTCATAGCTGCTCAATCAAAAGATAGGTGCAACTGTGTGAGTTGAATGCCGATATCACAAAGATGTTTCTCAGAATGCTTCTGAGTAGTTTTTATGTGAATGTATTTCCTTTTCCATAATAGGCCTCAAAGTGTTCCAATTATCCAGTTGCAGATTCTACAAAAAGAGAGTTTCAAAACTGCTCAAACAAAAGAAATGTTCAACTCTGTGAGATGAATGTGTACATCAGAAAGAAGTTTCTCAGAATGCTTCTATGCAGTTTTTATGTGGAGATATTTCCTTTTCCACAACAGGCTTCAAACAGCTCCAAATATCCACTTACAGATGCTACAAACAGAGTGTTTCAAAACTACTATATCATAAGAAAGGTTCAACACTGTGAGATGAATGTACGCATCACAAAGAAGTTTCTGAGAATGCTTCTGTGTAGTTTTTATCTGAAGATATTTGCTTTTCCATGATAGGCCTCAAAGCACTCCATATATCCTATTGCAGATTCTACAAAAAGAATGTTTCAAAACTACTCAAGCATAAGATAGGTTCAAGCCAATGAGACGAATGTACACCTCATAAAGAAGCTTCTCAGAATCTCTCTGAGTAGTTTTCATTTGAAGATATTTCCTTTTCCAGCATTGGCCGCAAAGGGCTCCAAATATCCACTTGCAGATTCTGCAAAAAGAGTTTCAAAACTTCTCACTCAAAAGATAGGTACAACTCTGTGAGTTAAATGCACACATCCCAAAGAAGTTTCTTAGCATGATTCTGTGTCGTTTTTATGGGAAGATATTTGCTTTTCTGCAGTATAGGCCTCAAAGGGCTCCAAACATTCACCTGCAGATCCTGCAAAAAGAGAGTTTCAAACCTGCTCAATCAAAAGATAGTTTCAACTCTGTGAGTTGAATGCCCACATCAAAAAGAAGATTCTCAGAATGCGTCTGAGTAGTTTTTATGTGAAGATATTCCCATTTCAACAATAGGCATGAAAGGGTTCCAATTATCCAATTGCCGATTCTACCAAAAGTGTGTGTCAAAACTGCTCAATCAAAAGAAAGGTTCAACTCTGTGAGATGAATGTACACAACACAAAGAAGTTTATCAGAAAGGTTCTGTGTAGTTTTAATGTGAAGATATTTCCTTTTCCACAGTAGGACTCAAAGGGCTCCAAATATCCACTTACAGATTCTCCAAAAAGAGTGTTTCAAAACTGCTCTATCAAAAGAAAGGTTCAACTCTGTGAGTTGAATGCACACATCACAAAGTAGTTTCGGAGAATGCTTCCATCTAGTTTTTATGTGAAGATATTTCCTTTTGCACCGTAGGCCTCAAAGCGCTCCAAATATCCACTTGCGGATTCTACAAAAAGAGTGTTTCAAAACTACTCTTTCAAAAGAAAGTTTCAACTATTTGAGTTGAATGCACACATCACAAGGAAGTTTCTGAGAATGCTTCTGTCTAGTATTTATGTGAATATATTTCCTTTTACACCATACCTCCAAGCCCTCCATATAGCCACTTGGAGATTCTACAAAAAGTGTGTTTCAAAACTGCTCTATCAAAAGAAAGGTTCAACTATGTGAGTTGAGTGCACACATCACAAAGAGGTTTCTAAGAATGCATCTGTGTAGATTTTTTGTGAAGATATTTCCTTTTCCACCATAGGCCTCAAAGCACTCAAAACATCCACTTGCAAATTCCAGAAAAAAAGTGTTTCAAAACTGCTCTATCAAAAGAAAGATTAAACTCTGTGAGTTGAATGCGCACATCACAAAGAAGTTTCAGAGAATGCTTCTGTCCAGTTTTAATGTGAAGGTATTTCCTTTTCCACTGTAAGCCTCACAGCACTCCAAATATGCACTTCCAATTCTACAAACAGAGTGTTTCAAAAATGATCTATCAAAACAAATATTGAACTCTGTGAGTTGAACGCACACATCACAAAGAAGTTTCTGAGAATGCTTCTGTCTAGTTTATATGTGAACATATTTCCTTTTCCACCATAGGACTCTAAGCCCTCCATATATCCACTTTGAGATTCTACAAAAAGAGTGTTTCAAAACTTCTCTGTCAAAAGAAAGGTTCAACTCTGTGAGTTGAATGCACACATCACAAAGCAGTTTCTGAGAACGCTTCTGTCTACTTTTTCTGGGAAGATATTCCTTTTCCACCATAGGCCTCCAAGCGCTCGAAATATCCACTTGCAGACACTACAAAATGAGTGTTTCAAAACTGCTCTTTTGAAAGAAAGGTTAAACTCTGTGAGTTGAGTGCACACATCACAAAGAAGTTTCGGAGAATGCTTCTGTCTAGTTTTTATGGGAAGATAATTCCTTTTCCACCTTAGGCCTCAAAGTGCCCCAAGTATCCATTTGCAGATTCTACAAAAAGAGAGTTTCAAAACTGCTCTATGAAAGGAAAGGTTCTACTCTGTGTGTAGAATGCATACATCACAAAGAAGTTTCTGAGAATGCTTCTTTCTAGATTTTATGTGAAGATAGTAGGTTTTCCAACATAGGCCTCAGAGGGAACAAACTTTCCACTTGCAGATTCTACAAAAAGAGTGTTTCAAACATGCTCTAATAAAAGAAATTTTCAAATCACTGAGTTGAATGCTCACATCACAAAGAAGTTTCGAAGAATGCTACTGTCCACTTTTCATGTGAAGATATTTCCTTTTTAAATCATAGGCGTTAAAGCACTCCAAATATCCATTTGAAGATACTACAAAAAGAGTGTTTCAAAAGTGCTGTGTCAAAAGAAAGATTCAACTCTGTGAGTTGAATGCATACATCACAAGGAAGTTTTTGAAAATGCTTCTGTCTAGTTTTTATGTGAAGATATTTCCTTTTCCACCATAGGCCACAAAGGGCTCCAAATATCCACATGCACAAAGGTTCAACTCTGTGAGTTGAATTCACACATCACAAAGGAGTTTCTGAGAATGCTTCTGTCTAGCTTTTATGTGAAGATATTTTGTTTTCCAACATAGGCCTCAAAAGGTACAAAATATCAACTTGCAGATTATACAAAAAGGGTTTTTCAAAACTGCTCTATCAAAAGAAACTTTCAACTCTGTGTGTTGAATGCACACATAAAAAAGAAGTTTAGGAGAATACCTCTGTCTAGTTTTTATGTGAAGATCGTTCGTTTTCCATTATCGGTCACAAAGGGAACTAAATATCCACTTGCAGATTCTACAAAATGTGTGTTTCAAAACTGCTCTATCAAAAGATAGGTTCAACTCTGTGAGTTGATTGCACACATCACAAAGAAGTAACTGAGAATGCTTCTGTCTAGTTTTTATGTGAAGATATTTCCTTTTGCACCGTAGGCCTCAAAGCGCTCCAAATAACCACGTGTAGATTCTACAAAAAGCATGTTTCGAAACTGCTCTATCAAAAGAAAGGTTCAACTCTGTGAGTTGAATGCACACATCACAAAGAAGTTTCTGCGAATGCTTCTCTCTAGTTTTCATGTGAAGATATTTCCTTTTACATCATAGGCCTTAAAGCACTCCAAATATCCATTTGCAGATACTACAAAAATAGTGTTTCAAAACTGCTGTATCGAAAGAAAGATTCAACTCTGTGAGTTCAATGCACACATAAAAAGCAGTTTTGAGGAATGCTTCTGTGTAATTTTTTGTGAAGATATTTCCTTTTCCACCATAGGCCTCAAATCGCTCCAAATATCCACATGCAGATTCTTCAAAAACAGTGTTTCAAAACTGCTTTATCAAAAGAAAGGTTCAGCTTTGTGAGTTGAATGCACACATCACAAGGTAGTTTCTGAGAATGATTCTGTCTAGCTTTTATGTGATGATATTTCATTTTCCAACATAGGACTCAAAAGTTACCAAATATCAACTTGCAGATTACATAAAAAGAGTGTTTCAAAACTGCTGTATCAAAAGAAACTTTCAACTCTTTGAGTTGAATGCACACATCACAAAGAAGTTCGGAGAATGCTTCTCAATACTTTTTATGTGAAAATAGTTCATTTTCCATTATAGACCTCAAAGGGAACGAAATATCCACTTGCAGATTCTACAAAATGTGTTTCAAAACTGCTCTATCAAAAGATAGGTTAAATTCCGTGAGTTGAATCCGCAGATCACAAAGACGTTTCTGAGAATCCTTCTGTCTAGTTTTTATGTGAAGATATTTCCTTTTCCACCATAGGCCTCAACGTGCTCCAAATATCCATTTACAGATTCTACAAAAAGAGTATTTCAAAACTACTCTTTCAAAACAATGTTTCAACTATTTGAGTTGAATACACACATCACAAGGAAGTTTCTGATAATGCTTCTGTTTAGTTTTTATGTGAATACCTTTCCTTTTACACCATAGGCCTCTAAGACCTCCTTATATCCACTTGGAGATTCTACAAAAAGTGTGTTTCAAAACTGCTCTATCAAAAGAAAGGTTCAACTCTGTGAGCTGAATGCACACATCACAAAGAAGTTTTTGTGAATGCTTCTCTCTAGTTTTCATGTGAAGATATTTCCTTTTCTAACTTAGGCCTCAAAGCACTTCTTATATCCACTTGCAGCTTCTACAAAAGAGTGTTTCAAAACTGCTTTATCAAAAGAAAGGTTCACCTCTGTGTGTTGAATGCACACTTCACTAGGAAGTTTCTGAGAATGATTATTTCTAGCTTTTATGTGATGATATTTCGTTTTCCAACATAGGACTCAAAAGTTACCAAATATCAACTTGCAGATTATACAAAAAGAGTGTTTCATAACTGCTCTATCAAAAGAAACTTTCAACTCTGTGAGTTGAATGCACACATCACAAGGAAGTTTCTGAGAATGCTTCTGTCTAGTTTTTATATGAATATATTTCCTTTTACACCATAGGCCTCTAAGCCCTCCATATATCCACTTGGAGATGCTACAAAAAGTGTGTTTCAAAGCTGTTCTATCAAAAGAAAGGTTCAACTCTGTGAGTTGAGTGCACACATCACAAAGAAGTTGCTGAGAATGCTTCTTTGTATTTTTTTGTGAAGATATTACCTTTTTCACCATATGCCTCAAAGCGCTCAAAACATCCACTTGCAAATTCCAGAAAAAGAGTGTTTCAAAACTGCTCTATCAGAAGAAAGCTTCAACACTTTAAGTTGAAGGCACACATCAAAAAAAGTATCTGAGAGTGCTTCGGTCTAGTTTTTATGTGAAGATATTTTGTTTTCTAACATAGGACTGAAAGGGAACAGAATATATAATTGCAGATTCTACAAAAGCATTTTTTCAAAACTGCTCTGTAAAAAGAAATGTTCAACTCTGTGAGTTGAATGAACACATCACAGAGAAGTTTCTGACAATGCTTCTGACTAGCTTTTATGTGAAGATACTTCCTTTTCCACCTTAGGCCTCAAAGCGCTCCAAGTATCCACTTGCAGATTCTACAAAAGGAGTGTTTCAAAACTGCTCAATCAAAAGAAAGATTCTACTCCGTGAGATGAATGTACACATCACAAAGAAGTTTCTCAGAATCCTTCTGTGTAGTTTTTATCTGAAGATATTTGCTTTTCCACTGTAGATCTCAAATCTCTCCATGTATACACTTGCAGATTCTACAAAAAGAGATATTCAAATCTGCTCAATCAAAAGATAGATTTAACAATGTGAGATGAATGCACACATCATGAAGAAGTTTCTGAGAATGCTTCTGTGTAGTTTTTATTTGAAAATAATCCTTTTTCCACCATAGGGGGTAAAGGTATCCAAATATCCACTTGCAGATTCTACAAAAAGAGAGATTCTATACTTCTCAATCAAAAGATAGGTTCAAATCTGTGAGTTGAATGCACAGATCACAAATAAGTTTCGGAGAATGCTTCTATCTAGTTTTTATGTGAAGATAATTCCTCTTCCTCCTTAGTCCTCAAAGCACTCCAACTATCCACTTGCAGATTCTACAAAAAGAGTTTTTCAAATCTGATCTATCAAGAGAAAGTTTCAACTCTGTGATTTGTATGCATATATCACAAAGAATTTTCTGAGATTGCTTCTGTCTTGTATTTATGTGAAGATATTTCGTTTTCCAACATAGGCCTCAAAGGGAGCCAAATTTCCTCTTGCAGATTATACTAAAAGAGTGTTTTAAAGATGCTCTATTAAAAGAAATTTTCAACTCTGTGAGCAGAATTCACACATCACAAAGAATTTCAGGGAGTGCTGCTGTCTGTTTTTTACGTGAAGATATTTCCTTTTCCACCATACGCCTCAAGCGTTCCAAATATCCACATGCGGATTCTACAAAAAGAGTGTTTCAAAACTGCTCTATCAAAAGAAAGGTTCATCTCTGTGAGTTGAATGCACACATCAAAAAGAAGTTTATGAGAATGCTTCTGTGTAGTTTTTATGTGAAGATATTTCGTTTTCCAACTTTGGCCCCAAAGGAACCAAATATCAACTTGCAGATTATACAAAAAGAGTGTTTGAAAACTGCTCTAACAAAAGAAACTTTCAACTCTGTGAGTTGAATGCACACATGACAAAGAAGCCTCGGCAAACGCTTCTGTCTAGTTGTTATGTGAAGATAGTTTGTTTTCCATCATAAGCCTTAAAGGGAAACAAATATCCACTTGCAGATTCTACAAAATGTGTGTTTCAAAACTGCTCTATGAAAAGATGGGTTCAACTCTGTGAGTTGAATGCACACATCCCAAAGAAGTTTCTCAGAGTGCTTCTGCATAGTTTTTATGTGAACATATTTGATTTTCCACAGTAGACCTCACAGCGCTCCAAATTTCTACTTGCAGATTCTACAAAAAGAGGGATTCTGAACTGCTCCATAAAAAGATAGATTCAACTTTGTGAGCTGAATGCACACATCATGAATAAGTTTCTGAGAATTCTTCTGTGTTGTTTTTATTTGAAGATATTTCCTTTTCCACAATAGGCCTCAAAGTGTTCTAAATATCCACTTGCAGATTCTACAAAAAGAGAGATTCTAAACTGCTCAATCAAAAGATAGTTTCAACTCTGTGAGTTGAATGCACACATCACAAAGAAGAGTCTCAGAATGCTTCTGAGTAGTTTTTCTGTGAACATATATCCTTTTCCACAATGGGCCTCAAAGGGCTCCAATTATCTACTTGCAGATACTACAAAAAGATTGTTTCAAAACTGCTCAATATAAAGTAGTTTCAATCCTGTGATGTGAACGAACACATCACAAAGAAGTGTTTCTGAATGCTTCCGTATAGTTTTTATTTGAAGATATTTCCTTTTCCACCATAGGGAGCAAAGGCTCCAAATATCCACTTACAGATTCCACAAAAACAGAGATTCAAATCTGCTCAATGAGAAGATAAGTTCAACTTTGTGAGTTGAATGCACACCTCAAAAAGAAGTTTATCAGAATGCCTCTGTCTTGTTTTTATATGAAGATATTTCCTTTTCCGCCACCGGCCTCAAAGTGCTCCAAACGTCCACTTGCAGATACTGCAAAAAGAGAGATTCAAAACTGCTCAATCAAAACATAGATTCAACTCCGTGAGTTGAATGCACATATCACAAAGAAGTTTCTCAGAATGCTTCTCTGTAGTTTTTATGTGAACATATTTGATTTTCCACAGTAGACCTCACAGCACTCCAAAAATCCACTTGCAGATTATACAAAAAGAGAGATTCAAAACTGCTCAATCAAAAGATAGGTTCACCTCCGTGAGTTGAATGCACACATCCCAAAGAACTTTCTCAGAATGCTTCTGTGTAGTTTTTATGTGAATATATTTGCTTTTCCACAGTAGGCCTCAAAGGGCTCCAAATATCCACTTTCAGATTCTGCAAAAAGGAGCTTGAAAACTGTTCAATGAGAAAATAAATTCAACTCTGTGAGTTGAATGCACACCTCACAAAGAAGTTTCTCAGAATGCTTCTGTGTAGTTTTTATGTGAAGATATTTCCATTTCTACAATAGGCCTCAAAACTCTCCAAACATGCACCTGCAGATTCTGCAAAAAGTGAGATTTAAAGCTGCTCAATCAAAAAATAGTTTCAACTCTGTGAGTTGAATGTACACATCACAAAGTAGTTTCTGAGAATGATTCCGTGTACTTTTTATGGGAACATATTCGATTTTCCACAGTATGCCTCACAGAGCTTCAAATATCCACTTTCAGATTCGACAAAAAGAGATATTCAAAACTGCTCAATCAAAAGATAGGTTCAACTCTGTGGGATGAATGCAAACCTCAGAAAGAAGTTTCTCAAAATGCTTCTGTGTAGTTTTTATGTGAAGATATTTCCTTTTCCACCATAGGCCGCAAAGGGCTCCAAATATCCACTTGCAGATTCTGCAAAAAGAGAGATTCAAAACTGTTCAATCAAAAGACACGTTCAACACTGTGAGTTTAATGCACACATTCCAGAGAAGTTTCTCAGAATGCTTCTGTGCAGTTTTTATGTGAACTTATTTGCTCTTCCACAGTAGGCCTCAAAGAGCTCCAAATATCCAACTGCAGATCTAACAAAAAGAGAGATTCACAACTGCTCCATGAAAAGATAGCTTCAACACTGTGAGTTTAATGTACACATCCCAGAGATTTTTCTCAGAATGCTTCTGTGCAGTTTTTATGTGAACTTATTTACTTTTCCACAGTAGGCCTCAAGGAGCTCCAAATATCCATCTGCAGACCTAGCAAAAAGAGAGATTCAAAACTGCTCCATGAAAAGATAGGTTCAACTCTGTGAGTTGAATGCATACATCACAAAGAAATTTCTCTGAGTGCTCCTGTGCAGGTTTTATGTGAAGATATTTCCTTTTCCACCATAGGGCACAAAGGCCTGCAAATATCCACTTGCAGATTCTACAGAAAGGGAGATTCAAACTGCTCAATCGAAGGAAAGTTTGAACTCTGTGAGGCGAATGCAAATATCACTAAGAAGTTTCTCAGAATGCTTCTGAGTAGTTTTTATGTGAAGATATTTCCTTTTCCACAACAGGCCTCAAAGGGCTCTAATTATCCACTTGCAGATTCTACAAAAATAGTGTTTCAAAACTGCTCAATAAAAACAAACGTTCAAATCTGTGAGATGAATGCACACATCATGAAGAAGTTTCTCAGAATGCTTCTGTTTACTTTTTATGTAAAGATATTTCCTTTTCCCAATAAGTCTCAAAGGGCTCCAAATATCCACTTGCCGATTCTACAAAAAGACTGTTTCAAAACTGCTCAATCAAAAGAAAGGTTCAACTCTGTGAGATGAAGGCACACATCACAAAGAAGTTTCTCAGAATACTTCTGTGTGGTTTTTATCTGAAGACATTTGTTTTTCCACGGTAGGCCTCAAAGAGCTCCAAATATCCACTTGCAGATTCTACAAAAGAGTGTGTCAAAACTGCTCAATCGTAAGATAGGTTCAACTCTGAGAGGTGAATGCACACATCACAAAGAAGTTTCTCAGAATACTTCTGTGTGGTTTTTATCTGAAGACATTTGTTTTTCCACGGTAGGCCTCAAAGAGCTCCAAATATCCACTTGCAGACTCTACAAAAGAGTGTTTCAAAACTGCTCAATCATAAGATAGGCTCAACTCTGAGAGGTGAATGCAAACATCACAAAGAAGTTTCTCAGAATGCTTCTGTGTAGTTTTTATATGAACATATTCGATTTTCCACAGTAGGCGTTTCAGTGCTCGAAATACCCACTTGCAGATTCTACAAAAAGAGAGATAAAAACTCTTCAATCAAAAGATAGGTTCAACTCTGTGAGTTGAAAGCACACATAAGGAAGAAGTTTCTGAGAATGCTTCTGTGTAGTTTTTATTTGAAGATATTTCCTTTTCCATCATAGAGTGCAAAGGGCTTCAAATATCCACTTCCAAATTCTACAGAAAGAGCGATTCAAAACTGCTCAGTCAAAACATAGGGTCAACTCTGTGAGTTGAATGCACACATCACAAAGAATTTTCTCAGAATGCTTCTGAGTAGTTTTTATGTGAAAATATTTCCTTTTCCACAATAGGCCTCAAAGGGCTCCGATTATCCACTTGCAGACTCTACAAAAAGAGGTTTCAAAACTGCTCAATCAAAAGAAAGGTTCAACTCTGTGAGATGAATGCACACATCACAAAGAAGTTTCTCAGAATTCTTCTGTGTAGTTTTTATGTGAAGATATTTCCTTTTCCCAATAGACCTCAAAAGGCTACAAATATCCACTTGCAGATTCTACAGAAAGAGTGTTTTGAAACTGCTCAATCAAAAGAAAGGTTCAACTCATGAGATGAATGCACACGTCACAAAGAAGTTTCTCAGAATGCTTCTGTGTAGTATTTATGTAAAGATATTTGCTTTGCCACATTAGGCTTCAAACCGCTCCAAATATACACTTGCAGATTTAAAAAAAAGAGTGTTTCAAAACTGCTCATTCATAAGATAAGTTCAACTCTGTGAAGTGAATGCACACATCACAAAATAGTTTCTCAGAATGCTTCTGTGTATCTTTATTTGAAGATATCTCCTTTTCCACCATAAGTCGCAAAGGCTCCAAATATCCACTTGCAGATTCTACAAAAAGAGTCTTTTGAAACTGCTCAATCAAAAGAAAGTTTCAACCCTGTGTAATGAATGCACACATCACAAAGTAGTTTCTCAGAATGCTTCTGTGTAGTTTTTATGTGAAGATATTTCCTATTAAACAGTAGGCCTCAAAGCACTCCAAATATCCACTTGCAGATTCTAAAAAAAGAGTGTTTCAAAACGGCTCAATGATAAGTTAGGTTCAAACCTGTGAGATGAATGAACACATCACAAAGAAGTTTCTCAGAATGTTTCTGTGTAGTTTTATTTGAAGATATTTCCTTTTCCACCATAGACCACAATGGGCTCCAAATATCCACTTGCAGATTCTACAAAAGGAGAGATTCAAAACTGTTCAATGAGAAGATAATTTCAACTCTGTGAGTTGAATGCACACCTCAAAAAGAAGTTTCTCAGAATGCTTCTGTGTAGTTTTAATGTGAAGATATTTGCATTTCCATAGTAGGCCTCAAAAGGTTCACAATATCCACCTGTAGATTCTGAAAAAGAGAGATTCAGAACTGCTCAATCAAAAGATAGATTCAACTCTGTGAGTTGAATTCATACATCAAAAGAAGTTTCTCTGAATGTTTCTGGGTGGTTTTCATTTGAAGATATTTCCTTTTCCACCATAGGGCGCAATGGGCTCCAAATATCCACATGCAGATTCCACAAAAAGAGAGATTCAAAAATGCTCAATAAGAAGATAAGTTCAACTCTGTGAGGTGAATGCACACCGCACTAAGAAGTTTCTCAGAATGCTTCTGTGTAGTTTCTATGTGGAGATATTTCCTTTTCCACAATAGGCCACAAAAGTTTCCAAACATTCACTTTCAGATTCTGTAAAAAGAGAGATTCAAAACTGCACAATCAGAAGACAGGTTCAACTCCATGAGTTGAATGCACACATAACAAAGAAGTTTCTGAGAATTCTTCTGTCTAGTTTTTATGTGAAGATATTTCATTTTCCAACATATGCTTCAAAGAGAACCAAATATCCACTTACAGATTTTACAAAAAGAGAGTTTCCAAATGGCTCTATCAAAAGAAAAGTTCAACTCTGTGTGTTGAATGCACACATCACAAAGAAGTTTCTGAAATTGCTTCTGTACAGTTTTTATGTGAAGATATTTCTTTTTCCACTGTAGGCCTCAAAGCACTCCAAATATCCACTTGCAGATTCTAGAAAAAGTGTGTTTCAAAACTACTGTATCAAAAGAAAGTTTCAACTCTGTGAATTGAATGCACACTTCACAAAGGAGTATCTGAGAATGCTTCTGTCTAGTTTTTATGTGAAGATATTTCATTTTCCAACATATGCTTCAAAGGGAACCAAATATCCACTTGCAGATTCTACAAAAAGAGAGTTTCCAAACTGCTCTATCAAAAGAAAAGTTCAACTCTGTGAGTTGAATGCACACATCACAAATTAGTTTCTGAAATTGCGTCTGTACAGTTTTTATGTGAAGATATTTTCTTTTCCACTGTAGGCCTCAAGGTGCTCCAAATATCCACTTGCAGATTCCAGAAAAGGGTATTTCAAAACTACTGTATCAAAAGAAAGTTTCAACTCTGTGAATTGAGTGCACACTTCACAAAGGAGTTTCTGAGAATGCTTCTGTCTACTTTTTATGTGAAGATATTTCCTTTACCACTATAGGCCTCAAAGCACTCCAAATATCACTTTGCAGATTCCACAAAAAGAGCGTTTCAAAACTGCTCTAACAAAACAGAGCTTGAACTCTGTGAGAGGAAAGCCCACATCACAGAGAAGTATCTGAGAATGCTTCTATCTTGTTGTTATGTCAAGATATTTCCGTTTCCACAATAGGCCTAAAAGAGCTCCACATATCTACTTGCAGATTCCACAAAAAGAGTGTTTCAAAACTGCTCTATCAAAAGAAAGATTCAACTCTGTGAGTTGAATGCACTCACCAAAAAGAAGTTTTTGAGAATGCTTCTGTCTAGTTTTTATGTGAAGATATTTCCTTTGTCAACATAGCCCTCAAAGCTCTCTAAATATCCACTTGCAGATCCTACAAAAAGAGTGTTTGAAAACTGCTCTGTCAAAAGAAAGGTTCAACACTGTGAGCTGAATGCACACATCACAGAGAAGTTTCTGAGAATCCTTCTGTCTAGTTTTTTTGTGAAGATATTTCCTTTTCCACCATAGGCCTCAAAGCTCTCCAAATGTCCACTTGCAGATTCTACAAAAAGAGTGTTTGAAAACTGCTCTGCCAAAAGAAATGTTCAACTCTGTGAGTTGAATGCACACATCACAAAGTAGTTTTTGAGAAAGCTTCTGTCTAGTTTTTATATGAAGATATTTCCTTTTCCACCACAGGCCTCAGAGTGCTCCTAATGCCCACTTGCAGATTCAACAAAAAGAATGTTTCAAAACTACTCTATCAAAAGAAAGATTCAACTCTGTGAGTTGAATGCACTCATCACAAAGTCGTTTCAGAGAATGCTTCTGTGTAGTTTTTATACGAAGATATTTCCTTTTCTAACAGAGCCTCAAAGCACTCCTTATATCCACTTGAAGATTCTACAAAAGAGTGTTTCAAAACTGCTCTATCAAAAGGAAGGCTCAACTCTGTGACTTGAATGCACACATCACAAAGAAGTTTCTGAGAATGCTTCTGTCTAGTTTGTAGGTGAAGGTATTCCCCTTTCTGCCGTAGGCTTGAAAGCCCTCCAAATATCCACTTGCAGATACCAACAAAAATAGTTTTTCAAAACTGCTGTATAAAAAGAAAGGTTCCACTCTGTGAGTTGAATGCACACATAACAAAGAAGTTTCCGAGAATGCTTTTACCTAGTTTTTATGTGAAGATATTCCCATTTCCACTGAAGGCCTCAAAGCACTCCATATATCCACTTGCAGATACTACAAAAAAAGTGTTTCAAAACTACTCTATCAAAAGGAGGGAGGGTTCAACTCTGTGTGTTGAATGCACACATCACAAGGAAGTGTCTCAGAATGCTTCTGTCTAGTTTTTATGTGAAGATATTCCCGTTTCCAACGAAGGCCTCAAATCGGTCCAAATATCCACTTGCAGATTCTACAAAAAGAGTATTTCAAAACTACTCTATCAAAAGGAAGGTCCAACTTTGTGAGGTGAATGCACACATCACAATGGAGTTTCTGAGAATGCTTCCGTCTACTTTTTTTGTGAAGAGATTCCCGTTTCCAACGAAAGCCTCAAAGGGGCCAAAATATCCACTTGCAGATTCTCCAAAAAGAGTGTTTCAAAACTACTCTATGAAAAGGTATGTTCAAATCTGTGAGTTGAATAGAAACCTCACACAGAAGTTTCTGAGAAAGCTTCTGTCTAGTGTTTATGTGAAGATATTTCCTTTTCCACCACAGGCCTCAAAGCTCTGCAAATGTCCACTTGTAGATTCTGCAAAAATTGTTTCAAAACTTCCCTATCAAAAGTAAGTTTCAACTCTGTGAGATGAATGCACACATCACAAAGAAGTTTCTGAGAATGTTTCTGTCTAGTTTTTAGGTGAAGATATTCCCGTTTCCACCATAAGCCTCATAGTCCTCCAAATATCCACTTGCAGATTCTACAAAAAGAGTGTTTCAAAACTACCCTATCAAAACGAAGGTTCATCTCTGTGAGTTCAATACACACACCACAAAGAATTTTCTGAGAATGCTTCTGTCTACTTTTTATGTGAAGATATTCCCATTTCCATCGAAAGCCTCAAAGCGGTCAAAATATTCCCTCGCAGATACTACAAAAAGAGTGTTTCAAAACTGCTGTATGAAAATTTATGTTCAAAACTGAGTTGAATGCAAACATCCCAAAGAAGATTCTGAGAATTCTTCTGTCTAGTTTTTATGTGAAGATATTTCCATTTCCACCATAGGCCTCAAAGCTCTCCAAATGTCCACTTGCAGATTCTACAAAACGAGTGTTTCAAATCTGCTCTTTCAAAAGAGAGGTTCAAATCTGTTAGTTGAATGCACATATCTCAGAGGAGTTTCTGAGAATTCTTCTGTCTAGTTTTCATATGAAGATATTTCCTTCTCGACCACAGGCTTCAAAGTGCACCAAATGTCCACTTGCAGATTCTACAAAAACGTGGTTCAAAACTGCTCTATCAAAAAAAAATTCCAACTCTGTGAGTTGAAAGCACACATCACAAAAAGTTTCTGCGAATGCTTATGTCTACTTTTTATGTGAAGATATCTCGTTTCCAAGAAAGCGTCAAAGGGTCCCAAATATCAACTTGCAGATTCCACAAAAAGAGTGTTTCAAAACTGCTCTATAAAAAGGTATGTTCAAATCTGTGTGTTGAATGCAAACATCACAAAGAAGTTCCTGAGAATGCTTCTGTGTAGTTTTTATGTGAAGATATTTCCTTTTCCACCATAGGCCGGAAAGCTCTCCAAATGTCCACTTGCAGATTATACAAAAAGAGTGTTTCAAAACTGTTCTATCAAAAAAGAGTTCAAATCTGTGAGTTGAATGCACACATCAAAAAGTAGTTTCTGAGAATGCCTCTGTCTAGTTTTTATATGAAGATATTTCCTTTTCCACCACATGCTTCAGAGTGTTCAAAAAGTCTAGTTCCAGATTCTACAAAAACAGTGTTTCAAAACTGTTCTATCAAAAGAAAGTTTCAACTCTTAAAGCTGAATGCACACAACACAAATTAGTTTCTGATAACGTTTCTGTCTAGTTTTTATATGAAGATACTTTCTTCTCTACCACAGGCCTCAAAGCGCTGCATATATCCACTTGCAGATTCTCCAAAACGAGTGTTTCAGAACTGCACTATCAAAAGGAAGTTTAACCCCTTGGAGTTGAATGCACACATCACAAAGAAGATTCTGAGAATGCTTCTGTCTAGTTTTTAGGTGAAGATATTCCTGTTTCCACCGTAGGCCTAAAAGGCCTCCAAATATTCACTTGCGGATGCTACAAAAGAGTGTTTCAAAACTGCTCTATCAAAATAAAGGTTCCAACCTGTGAGTTGAACGCATTCATCACAAAGAAGTTTCTGAGAATGCTTCTGTCTAGTTTTTATGTGAAGATATTCCCGTTTCCAACGAAGGCCTCAAAGCGCTCTATATATCCACTTTCAGATTCTATAAAAAGAGTGTTTCAAAACTGCTCTATCAAAGGGAAGGTTCAACACTGTGTGTTGAATGCACACGTCACCAAGAAGTTTATGAGAATGTTTCTAGTTTTCATATGAAGATATTCCGGTTTCCAGCAAATGCCTCAAAGTGCTACAAATATCACCTTGCAGATTCTACAAAAAGAGTGTTTCAAAACTGCTCTATCAAAAGGAAGATTCAACTCTGTGAGTTGAATGCACACATCACAAAGAAGTTTCTGAGAATGCTTCTGTCTAATTTTTATGTGAGAATATTTCATTTTCCATCATAGGCCTCAAAGCGCTCCAAATATCCATTTGCAGTTTCCTCAAAAAGAGTGTTTCAAAACTCCTCTATCAAAAGAAAGTTCAACTCTGTGAGATGAATGCACACATCAGAGAGAAGTTTCTGACAAGGCTTCCATCTAGTTTTTATGTGAAGTTATTTCCTTTTCCACCATAGGCCTCAACGTGCTCCAAATATCCACTTGCAGTTTCCTCAAAAAGAGTGTTTCAAAACTGCTCTGTCAAAAGAAAAGTTCAACTCTGTGAGTTGAATGCACACATCACAAAGAAGTTTCTGAGAATACTTCTGTCTAGTTTTTATGTGAAGATATTTCCTTTTCCAACGTAGGCCTCAAAGGGAACAAAATATCCCCTTGCAGATTCTACCAAAAGGGTGTTTCACAACTGCTGTACCAAAAGAAATGTTTAACTCTGTGACTTGAATGCACCCATCACAAAGAAGTTTCTGAGAATGCTTTTGTCTTGTTTTTAATGAAGATATTTCCTTTTCCACTGTCGGCCTCAAAACGCTCCAAATATCCACTTCCAGATTCTACAAAAAGAGTGTTTCAAAACTGCTCTATCAAAAGAATGGTTCAACTCCGTGAGATGAATGCACACATCACAAAGAAGTTTCTGAGAATGCTTCGGTTTATTTTTGATGTGAAGATATTTTCTTTTCCAACATAGGCCTCAAAGGGAACCAAATATCCACTTGCAGATTCTACAAAAAAGTGTTTCAAAACTGCTCTATCCCACCCATGAGCATGGAATATTCTTCCATTTTTTGTATCCTCTTTTATTTCCTTTAGCATTGGTTTGTAGTTCTCCTTGAAGAGGTCCTTCCCGTTCCTTGTAAGTTGGATTCATAGGTATTTTATTCTCTTTGAAGCAGTTGTGAATGGGAGTTCACTCATGATTTGACTCTCTGTTTGTCTGTTGTTGGTGTATAAGAATGCTTGTGATTTTTGTACATTGATTTTGCATGCTGAGACTTTGCTGAAGTTGCTTATCTGCTTAAGAAGATTTTGGGCTGAGACAATAGGGTTTTCAAAATATATAATCATTTCATCTGCAAACAGGGACAATTTGACTTCCTCTTTTCATAATTGAATACCCTTTATTTCCTTCTCCTGCCTAATTGCCCTGGCCAGAATATCCAACACTATGTTGAATACGGATGGGTAGGAAGAATCAATATCGTGTAAATGGCCATACTGCCAAAGGTAATTTGCAAATTCAATGCCATCTCCTTCAAGCTACCAATGTCTTTCTTCACAGAATTGGAAAAAACTACTTTAAATTTCATATGGAACCAAAAAAGAGCCCGCATCACCAAGTCAATCCTAAGTCAAAAGAACAAAGCTGGAAGCATCACTCTACCTGACTTCAAACTATACTACAAGGCTACAGTAAACAAAACACCATGGTACTGGTATCAAAACAGAGATATTGATCAATGGAACAGAACAGAGCCCTCAGAAGTCACACCGCATATCTACAACTATCTGATCTTTGACAAACCTGAGAAAAACAAGCAATGGGGAAAGGATTCCCTATTTAATAAATGGTGCTGGGAAAACTGGCTAGTCACATGTAAAAAGCTGAAACTGGATCCCTTCCTTACACCTTATACAAAAATCAATTCAAGATGGATTAAAGACTTAAACCTTAGACCCGAAACCATAAAAACCCTAGGAGAAAACTTAGGCATTACCATTCAGGATATAGGCATGGGCAAGGACTTCATGTCTAAAACACAAAAAGCAATGGCAACCAAAGCCAAAATTGACAAATGGGATCTAATTAAACTAAAGAGCTTCTGCACAGCAAAAGGAACTACCATCAGAGTGAACAGGCAACCGACAAAATGGGAGAAAATTTTCCCAACCTACTCATCTGACAAAGGGCTAATATCCAGAATCTACAATGAACTCAAACAAATTTACAAGAAAAAAACAAACAACCCCATCAAAAAGTGGGCAAAGGACATGAACAGACACTTCTCAAAAGAAGACATTTATGCAGCCAAAAAACACATGAAAAAATGCTCACTATCACTGACCATCAGAAAAATGTAAATCAAAACCACAATGAAATACCATCGCACACCAGTTAGAATGTCAATCATTAAAAAGTCAGGAAACAACAGGTGCTGGAGAGGATGTGGAGAAATAGGAACACTTTTACACTGTTGGTGGGACTGTAAACTAGTTCAACCATTGTGGAAGTCAGTGTGGCTATTCCTCAGGGATTTAGAACTAGAAATACCATTTGACCCAGCCATCCCATTACTGGGTATATACCCAAAGGACTATAAATCATGCTGCTATAAAGGCACATACACACGTATGTTCATTGCGGCATTATTCACAATAGCAAAGATTTGGAACCCACCCAAATGTCCAACAATGATAGACTGGATTAAGAAAATGTGGCACATACACACCATGGAATACTACGCAGCCATAAAAAAAGATGAGTTCATGTCCTTTGTAGGGACATGGATGAAATTGGAAAACATCATTCTCAGTAAACTATGGCAAGAACAAAAAGCTAAACTCCGCATATTCTCACTCATAGGTGGGAATTGAACAATGAGAACACATGGAGACAAGAAAGGGAGCATCACATTCTGGGGACTGCTGTGGGGTGCAGGGAGGGGGTGGGGATAGCATTGGGAGATATACCTAATGTTAGATGACGAGTTAGTGGGTGCAGCGCACTAGCATGGCACTTGTATACATATGTAACTAACCAGCACAATGAGCACATGTACCCTAAAACTTAAAGTATAATAATAACTAAAAAAAAAAAAAAGAAAAAAAGCTCTATCAAAAGAAATGTTCAACTCTCTCAGTTGAATACAAAAATCACAAAGAAGTTTTGGAGAATGGCTCTGTCTTTCTTTTATGTGAAGATATGTCTATTTCTACCATAGGCCTCAAAGCGCTACATATATCCACTTGCAGATTTTACAAAAAGAGTGTTTCAAAACTGCTCTATGAAAAGAAAGGTTCAACACTGTGAGTTGAATGCAGACATCACAAAGAAGTTTCTGAGAATGCTTCTGTCTAGTTTTTATGTGAAGATATTTCCTTTCCCAGCACAGGCCTCAATGCGCTCCAAATAACAACTTGCAGATTCTACAAAAAGAGTGTTTCAAAACTGCTCTATCAAAAGAAAAGAACACACTGAGAGTTGAATACACACATCATGAATAAGTTTCTGAGAATAATTCTGTCTAGTTTTTATGTGAATATATTTCGTTTTCCAACATAGGCCTCAAAGGGAAAAAAAATCCACTTGCAGATCCTTCGGAAAGACTGTTTCAAAACTGCTGTATCAAAATAAAGGTTCAAATGTGTTCGTTGAATGCACACATCACAAAGAAGTTTCGGGGAATTCTTCTGTCTAGTTTTTATGTAAAGATATTTCCTTTTCCAACATAGGCCTCAAAGCGCTCCAAATATCAACTTGCAGAATCTACAAAAAGAGTGTTTCAAAACTGCTCTATCAAAAGAAAGGTTCAAAACTGTGAGTTGAATGTGCACATCACAAAGAAGCTTATGAAAATCATTCTATCTAGTTTTTATGTGAAGATATTTCCTTTTCCAACATAGGCCTCAAAGGGAACAAAATATACACTTGCAGATTCTACAAAAAGAGAGTTTCAAAACTGCTCAATCAAAAGAATGGTTCAACTCTGTGAGTTGAACGCACACATCACCAAAAAGTTTCTGAGAATGCTTCTGTCTAGTTTTTATGTGAAGGTATTTCCTTTTCCACCATAGGCCTCAAAGCACTCCAAACATCCACTTGCATATACTACAGTAAGAGTGTTTCAAAAGTGCTCTATCAAAAAAAAGGTTCAACTGTGTGAGTTGAATGCGCACATCACAAAGAAGTTTATGAGAATGCTTCTGTCTAGGTTTTATGTGAAGATATTTCCTTTTCCAACATATGCCTCATAGCGCTCTAAATATCCACTTGCAGATTCTACAAAAAGAGTGTTTCAAAACTTCTCTATAAAAAGAAAGGTTCAACTCTGTGAGTTCAATGCCCACATAAGAAAAAGTTTCTGAGAATGCTTTTGTCTAGTTTTTATGTGAAGATATTTCCTTTCCCACCATAGGCCTCAAAAGTCTCCAAATATCCACTTGCAGATTCTACAAAATAGTGTTTCTAAATTGCTGAATCAAAAGATTGGTTCAACTCTGTGAGTTGAATGCACACATCACAAAGAAGTTTCGGAGAATGCTTCTGTCTAGTTTCTATGTGAAGATATTTCGTTTTTCACCATGGGCCTCAAAGCTCTCCAAATATCGAATCACAGATTCTACAAAAAGAGTGTTTCAAAACTGCTCTATCAAAAGAAAGGCCCAACTCTGTGAGTTGAATGTACACATCACAAAGAAGTTTCTTAGAATGCTTCTCTCTAGTTTTTATATGAAGATATTCCTTTTATACCATAGGCCTCCAAATGCTCCAAATATCCACTTGCAGAATCTACAAAAGGAGTGTTTCAAAACTGCTCTATCAAAAGGAAGGTTCAACTCTGTGAGTTGAGTGCACAAATCACAGAGAAATATTTGAGAATGTTTCTGTCTAGTTTTAATGTCAAGATATTTCCTTTTCCACCATAGGCATCAAAGCGCTCCAAATATCCACTTCCAGATCCTACAAAAAGAGTGTTTCAAAACTGCTCTGTCAAAAGAAAGGTTCAACTCTGTGAGTTGAATGCACACAACACAAAGAAGTTTCTGAGAATGCTTCTGTCTAGTTTTTATGTGAAGGTATTTCCTTTTCCAACATTGGCCTCAAAGGGAACAAAATATCCACTTGCAGATTCTAGAAAAAGAGTGTTTCAAAACAACTGTATCAAAAGAAAGGTTCAACTCTGTGAGTTGAATGTACACATCACAAAGAAGTTTCTGAGAATTTTTTTTTTTTTTGTGAAGATATTACCTTTTCCTCCACAGGCCCCAAAGCACTCCAAATATCCACATGCAGTTTCTACAAAAAGAGTATTTCAAAACTGCTGTATCAAAAGAAAGGTTCAACCCTATGAATTCAATATATAAATCACAAAGATATTTCTGGGAATGCTTCTGTCTAGTTTTTATGTGAAGATATTTCCTTTTCCAGCATAGGCCTTAAAGTGCTCCAAATATCTACTTGCAGATACTACAAAAAGAGTGTTTCAAAGCTGCTCTATCAAAAGAAAGGTTCAACTCTGTGAGTTGAATGCACACATCACAAAGAAGTTTCTGAGAAAGCTTCTGTCAAGTTTTTATGTGAAGATATTTCCTTTTCCAACATAGGCCACCAAGGGAACGAAATATCCTCTTGCAGATTCTACAAAAAGAGTGATTCAAATCTGCTCCATCAAAAGAAATGTTCAACTCTGTGAGTTGAATGCACACATCACAAAGAAGTTTCTGAGAATGCTTCTTTCTAGTTTTTATGTGAAGATATTTCCTTTTCCACCATAGGCCTCAAAACACTCCAAATATTCACTTGTAGATTCTACATAAAGAGTGTATCAAAACTCTTCTATCAAAAAAAAGGCTCAACTCTGTGACGTGAATGCACACATCACATAGAAGTATCTCAGAATGCTTACGTCTAGTTTTTATGTGAAGATATTTCCATTTCTATCATAGACCTCAAAGTGCTCCAATTATCCATTTGCAGATTCTACAAAAAGAGTGTTTCAAAACTGCTCTATCAAAAGAAAGGTTCAGCACAATAAGTTGAATGTCCACATCACAAAAATTTTCAGAAAATGCTTCCGTCTGGTTTTTATATTAAGGTATTTACTTTTCCATCATAGGCTTCAACGCACTCCAATTATCCACTTGCAGATTCTACAAAAGGAGCGTTTCAAAGCTGGTCTGTCAAAAGACAGGTTCAACTCTGTGAGTTGAACGCACACATCACAAAGAAGTTTTGGAGAACCCTCTGTCTAGTTTCTATGTGAAGGCATTGCCTTTTCCACCATAGGCCTCACAGCGCACCAAATATCCACCTGCAGATTCTACAAAGTGTTTCAAAACTGCTCTATCAAAAGATAGGTTCAACACAGTGAGTTGAATGCACCCATCACAAAGAAGTTTATCAGAATGCTTCTGTGTGGTTTTTAGGGGAACATATTCGATTTTACACAGTAGGCCAAACAGCGCTCCAAATATCCATTTGCACATTCTTCAAAAAGAGAGATTCCAAACTGCTCCATCAAAACATAGGTTCAATTTTGTGAGTTGAATGCACACATCAAGAGGAAGTTTCTGAGAATGCTTCTATGTAGTTTTTAATTGAACATATTTCCTTTTCCACCATAGGACACGTAGGACTCCAAATATCCACTTGCAGATCCTACAAAAAGAGAGATTCTAAACTGCTCAATCAATGGATAGGTTCAACTCTGTGATTTGAATGCACACATCGTGAAGAAGTTTCTGAAAATGATTCTGTGTAGTTTTTATTTGAAGATATTTCCTTTTCCACCATAAGGCACAAAGGGGTCCAAATATAAACTTCCAGATTGTACAAAAAGAGAGATTGTAAACCGCTCGACCAAAAGATGAGTTCAACCCTGTGAGATGAATTCCATAAATCACAAAGAAGTTTCTCAGAATATTTCTGTCTAGTTTTTTTATGAACATATTCCTTTTCTACCAAAGGCCTCAAAGCGCTCAAAGTATCCACTTGCAGATTTTACAAAAACAGTTTTTCAAAACTGCTTTATCAAAGGAAAGGTTCAGCTCTGTGAGTTGAATGCATACATCACAAATAAGTTGCCGTGAATGCTTCTGTGTAGTTTTTATTTGAAGATATTTCCTTTTCACGTTAGGGTGCATAAGGCTCCAAATATCCACTTGCAGATTATACAAAAAGAGAGATTTAAATCTACTCAAGGAGAAGATAAGTTCAACTCTGTGAGTTGAATGCACACCTCACAAAGAAGTTTCTCTGAATACTTCTGTGTACTTTTTATATGAACATATTTCATTTCCACAATAGGCCTCAAAGATTCTGTGTAGGTTTTATGTGAACATATTTGATTTTCCACAGTAGGTCTCACAGCACTCCAAATATGCAGATGCAGATTCTACAAAAAGAGAGATTCAAAACTGCTCAATCAAAAGATAGGTTCAACTCTGTGAGTTGATGGCACACATCAGGAAGACGTTTCTGATAATGCTTCTCTGTAATTTTTATTTGAAGATATAGCCTTTTCCAGCATAGGGCACAAATGGTTCCAAATATCCACTTGCAGATTCTACAAAAAGAGAGATTCCAAATGGCTCAATCAAAGATAGATTCATCTCTGTGAGTTAAATGCACACAACACAGAGAAATTTCTCGGAATGCTTCTGAGTAGTTTTCATGTGAAGATATTTCCTTTTCCACAATAGGCCTCAAATGGCTCCAATTATGCACTTGCAGATTCTACAAAAAAGAGTGTTTGAAAACTGCTGAATCAAAAGAAGTATTCAACCCTGTGAGATGAATGTACACCTCACAAAGAAGTTTCTCAGAATGCTCTGTGTAGTTTTTATGTGAAGTTATTTCCTGTTCCACTAGAAGCCACAAACGGCTCCAAATATCCACTTGCAGATTCTACAAAAAGAGTGTTTCAAAACTGCTCAATCAAAAGAAAGATTCAACTCTGTGAGATGGATGCACGCATCACAAAGAAGTTTCTCAGAATGCGTCTGTGTTGTTTTTATGTGAAGATATTTCCTTTTCTACTGTAGGCCTCAAAGCCCTCCAAATATCCACTTGCAGATTCCGCAAAAAGAGATTCAAAACTGCTCAATCAAAGATACTTTCAACTCTGTGAGTTGAAAGCACACATAACATTTCTTACAATGCTTCTATGTAGTTTTTATGTGAAGATATTTCCTTTTCCAAAATAGGCCCGAAGCTCTTCAAATATTCGCTTCCAGATTCTACAAAAAGAGTGTTTCAAAAAAGCTCAATCAAAGGAAGTGTTCAACTGTGTGTGATGAATGCACTCATCACAAAGTAGTTTCTCTGAATGCTTCTGGGAAGTTTTTATGTGAAGATATTTGATTTTCACAGTAGGTCTCAAAGCTCTCCAAAAAAACTTTTGCAGATTCTGCAAAAAGAGAGATCCAAAACAACTCAATTAGAAGATAAGTTCAAATCTGTGAGTTGAATGCACACATAAAGGAGTTTCTCACAATGCTTCTGTGTAGTTTTTATGTGAAGATATTTCCTTTTCCAATAGCCTCAAAGCCCTCCAAAAATCCAATTCCAGATTCTACAGAAAGAGTGTTTCAAAAGTGCTCAATCAAAAGAAATGTTCAACTCTGTGAGTTGAACACACACATCATGAAGAAGTTTCTCTGAATGCTTCTGCGTAGTTTTTATTTGAAAATATTTACTTTTCCACCATAGGGCAGAAAGGGCTTCAAATATTCACTTGCAGATTCTACAAAAAGAGAGATATAAAACTGCTCAATGAGAAGATAACTTCAACTCTGCAAGTCGAATGCACTCCTCACAAAGAATTTTCTCAGAATGCCTCTGAGTAGTTTTTATGTGAAGATATTTCCTTTTCCACAATAGGCTTCAAAGGGCTCCAATTATCCACTTGTAGATTCTACAAAAAGAGTGTTTCAAAACTGCTCAATCAAAAGAAAGGTTCAACTCTGTGAGATGAATGCACACATCACAAAGAAGTTTCTCAGAATGCTTCTGTGTATTTTTTATCTGAAGATATTTGCTTTCCCACGGTAGGCCTCAAAGCGCTCCAAATATCCACTTGCAGGTTCTACAAAAAAAGTGTTTCAAAACTGTTCAATCATAATATAGGTTCAACCTTGTGAGATGAATACACACTTCACAAAGAAGTTTCTCAGAATGTTTCAGTGTAGTTTTTATTTGAAGATATTTCCTTATCCACCATAGGCCCAAAAGGGCTCTAAATATCCCCTTGCACATTCTGCAAAAAGAGAGATTCAAAAATGATCAATCAAAAGAAAGGTTCAACTCTGTGAGATGAATGCACACATCAAAAAGAAGTTTCTCAAATTGCTTCTGTGTAGTTTTTATTTGAAGATATTTCCTTTTCCACCATAGGGCACAAAGGGCTCCAAATATCAACTTGCAGATTCTACAAAAAGAGAGATTCAAAACTTCTCATTCGGAAGATAAGTTCAACTCTACAAGTTGAATGCACGCCTCACAAAGAAGTTTCTCACAATGCTTCGGTGTAGGTTTTATGTGAACATGTTCGATTTTCCACAGTAGGCCTCACAGTGCTCCAAATATCCACTAGCAGATACTACAAAAAGAGAGATTCAAAACTGCTCAATCATAAGATAGGTTCAACTCCGTGGGTTGAATGCGTACATCACAAAGAAGTTTCTCTGAATGCTTCTGTGTAGTTTTTATTTGAAGATATTTCCTTTTCCACCATAGGGCGCAAAGGGCTCCAAATATCCACTTGCAGATTCTACAAAAAGAGATATTCTAAACTGCTCAAAGAAAACATAGGCTCAACTCTGTGAGTTGAATGCACACATCACAAGGATGTTTCTAAGAATGCTTCTGAGTAGTTTTTATGTGAAGGTATTTCCTTTTCCACAATAGGCCTCAAAGGGCTCCAATTATCCACTTGCAGATTCTACAAAAAGGATATTTCGAAACTGCTCAATCTAAAGAAAAGTTCAACTCTGTGAGATGAAGGCACACATCACAAAGGAGTTTCTCAGAATGCTTCTGTGTAGTTTTTATGTGAAGATATTTCCTTTTACACAATAGGTCTCGATGGGCTCAAGATATCCACTTGCAGATCTACAAAGAGAGTGTTTCAAAACTGCTCAATGAAAAGAGAAGTTCAACTCTGTGAGATGAATGCACACATCCCAAAAAGTTTCTCAGAATGCTTCTGTGTAGTTTTTATGTGAAGGTATTTTCTTTCCACAGTAGTCCTCAAAGTGCTCCAAATATCCACCCTCAGATTCTGCAAAAAGAGAGATTCAAAACTGCTCAACTGAATGATAGGTTCAACTCTGTGAGTTGAATGCATACATCACAAAGAAGTTTATCTGAATGCTTCTGTGTAGTTTTTATTTGAAGATAGTTCCCTTTCCACCATAGGTTGCAAATGGCTCCAAATATCCACTTGCAGATTCTACAAAAAGAGAAATTCAAAGCTGTTCAGTGAGAAGATAAGTTCAACACTGTGAGTTCAATGCACACCTCACAAAGTAGTTTCTCTGAATGATTCGGTGTAGTTTTTATGTGAAGATATTTCCTTTTCCACAATAGGCCTCAAAGCTCTCCAAGCATCCACTTGCAGATTCTGCAAAAAGAGGGATTCAAAAATGCTCAATCCAAAGACAGGTTCAACTCGGTGAGTTGAATGCACACATCACAAAAAGTTTCTCAGAATGCTTCTGTGTAGCTTTTATGTGAACATATTTGATTTTCCACTGTAGGCCTCACAGTGCTCCAAATATCCACTGGCAGATTCTACAAAAAGAGAGATTCAAATCTGCACAATCAAAAGATAGCTTAAACTCTGTGAGTTGAATGCACACATCACGAAGAAGATTCTGAGAATGCTTCTGTGTAGATTTTATTTAAAGATATTTTCTTTTCCACAATAGGCCTCACAGGGCTCCAAATATCCTCTTGCAGATTCTACTAAGAGAGAGATTCTAAACTGCTCAAACAAAAGATAGGTTCAACTCTGTGAGTTGAATGGACACATCAGAAAGAAGTTTCTCCGAATGCTTCCGAGTAGTTTTTAAGTGAAGATATGTCCTTTTCCACAACAGGCCTCAAAGGGCTCCAATTACCAATTGCGGATTCTACAAAAAGAGTGTTTCAAAACTACTCAATCTAAAGAAAGTTTCAACTCTGCTAGATGAATGCACACATCAAAAAGAAGTTTCTCACAATGCTTCTGTGTAGTTTTTATGTGAAGATATTTCCTTTTCCATAATAGGCTGCAAAGTGCTCCAAATATCCATTTCAGATTCTACAAAAAGAGTGTTACAATATTGCTCAATCAATAGAAAGGTTCACCTCTGTGTGATGAATGTACACATCACAAAGAAGTTTCTCAGAATGCTTCTGGGTAGTTTTCGTATGAAGATATTTGCTTTTAAACAATAGGCCTCAAAGGGCTCCAAATATCCACTTGCAGCTACTACAAAAAGAGTGTTTCAAAACTGCTCAAACAAAAGAAATGTTCAACTCTGTGAGATGAATGCGCACATCACAAAGAAGTTTCTCAGAATGCTTCTGAGTAGTTTTAATCTGAAGATATTTGCTTTTCCACTGCAGGCCTCAAAGCGCTCCAAATATCAACTTGCAGATTCTACAAAAAGAGAGTTTCAAAACTGCTCAATCACAAGATATGTTCAACCACGTAAGATGAATGCAAACATCACAAAAAATTTTCCCAGAATGTTTCTGTTTAGTTTTTATTTGAAGATATTTCCTTTTCCACCATAGACAACAAAGGGCTCCAAATATCCACTTGCAGATACTTCAAAAAGAGAGATTCAAAACTGCTTAATCAAAAGATAGGTTCAACTCTGTGAGGTGAACACACACATCCCAAAGAAGTTTCTCATAATGATTCAGTGTACTTTTTATGTGAAGATATTTGCTTTTACTCAGTAGACCTCAAAGGGCTCCAAATATCCACCTGCATATTCTGCAAAAGGAGAGACTCTAAACTGCTCAATCAAAAGATAGGTTCAATTGTGTGATCTGAATGCACACATCCCAAAGAAGTTTCTCTGAATGCTACTGTGTCGTTTTTATTTGAAGATATATCCTTTTCCACCACAGGGCGCAAAGGGCTCCAAATATCCACTTGCAGATTCTTCAAAAAGAGAGACTCAAAACTGCTCAATGAGAAGATAAGTTCAACTATGGGTGTTAAATGCACACTTCACAAAGGAGTTTCTCAGAATGTTTCTATGCAGTCTTTATGTGAAGATATTTGCTTTTCCACAATAGGCCTGAAAGTTCTCCAAACATCCACTTGCAGATTCTGCAAAAAGAGGATTCCAAACTGCTCAATAAAAAGAAAGGTTCAACTCTGTGAGTTGAATGCACACATCAGAAAGAAGTTTCTCAGAATGCTTCTGTGTAGTTTTTATGTGAACATATTTGATTTTCCAAAGTAAGCTTTACAGCGCCACAATATCCACTTGCAGAATTTACAAAAAGAGAAATTCAAAACTGCTCAATCAAAAGATAGGTTGAACTCTGTGAGTTGAATGCACACATCACAATGAAGTTTCTGAGAATGCTTCTGTGTAGTTTTTATTTGAAGATATTTTCCTTTCAACTATAGGGCAAAAAGGGCTCCAAATATCCCCTTGCAGATTATGTAAAAACAGTGTTTCAAAACTGCTAAATCAAAAGAAAGGTCCAACTCTGTGAGATGAATGCACGCATCAAAAATAAGTTTCTCAGAATGCTTCTGTGTAGTTTTTATCTGAAGATATTTGCTTTTCTACGGTAGGCCTCAAAGCGCTCCAAATATCCACTTGCAGATTCTACAAAAAGTGTATTTCAAAACCGATCAATCATAAGATAAGTTCAACCCTGTGAGATTAATGCACACATCACAAAGAAGTTTCTCAAAATGCTTCTGTGTGGTTTTTAGGTAAAGTTATTTGCTTTTCCACAGTAGGCCTCACAGGGCTCCAAATATCCACCTGCAGATTCTGCAAAAAGAGAGACTCAAACTTGCTCAATCAAAAGATAGGTTCAACTCTGTGAGTTGAATGCATACATCAGAAAGAAGTTTCTCTGAATGCTTCTGTGTAGTATTTATTTAAAGATATTTCCTTTTCCACCATTGGGTGAAAAGGGCTGCAAATATCCACTTGCAGATTCTACAAAGAGAGAGATTCAAAACTGTTCAATGAGAAGATAAATTCAAATCTGTGTGTTGGATGCACACCTCACAAAGGAGTTTCTCAGAATGCTTCTGTGTAGTTTTTACTTGAAGATATTTCCTTTTCCACAATAGGGCACAAAGGGCTCCAAATATCCACTTGCAGAGTCTACAAAAACAGATATTCTAAACTGCTCAATCAAAAGAAGCTTCAACTTTGGGAGTTGAATGCACACATCACAAAGAAGTTTCTCAGAATCTTTCTGAATAGTTTTTATGTGAAGATATTTCCTTTTCTGCAATAGGCCTCAAAGGGCTCCAATTATCCAATTGCAGATTTTACAAAAAAAGGGTTACAAAACTGCTCAATCATAAGATATGTTCAACCCTGTGAGATGAGTGTACAAATCTAAATAAGGTTCTCAGAATATTTCAGTGTAGTTTTTATTTGAAGATATTTCCTCTTCCACCTTAGGCCACAAAGGGCTACAAATATCCACTTACAGATTCTGCAAAAAGAGAGATTCAAACTGTTCAATCAAAAGACAGGTTCAACTCTGTGAGTTGAATGCACACATCAGAAAGTAGTTTCTCAGAATGCTTCTGTATAGTTTTTATGTGAAAATATTTGCTTTTCCACAGTAGGCCTCAAAGGGTTCCAAATATCCACCTGCAGATTCTGCAAAAGGAGAGATTCCAAACTGCTCAATCAAAAGATAGCTTCAACTCTGTGAGTTGAATGCATACATCACAGAGAAGTTTCTCTGAATGTCTCTGTGTAGTTTTTATTTGAAGATACTTCCCTTTCCATTAAAATGTGCAAAGGGTTCTAAATATCCACTTGCAGATTCTACAAAAAGAGAGTATCAAAACTGCTCAATCAAAAGAAAGGTTCAACTCTGTGAGATGAATGCACACATCCCAAAGAAGTTTCTGAGAATGCTTCTGCATAGTTTTTATAAGAAGGTATTTGCTATTCCACATTAGTCCTCCAAGGACTCCAAATATCCACCTGCAGACTCTGCAAATAGAGAGATTCAAAACTGCTCAATGAAAATATAAGTTCAACTCTGAGACTTAAATGCACACATCACAAAGAAGTTTCTCAGAATGCGTCTGTGTAGCTTTTATGTGAACATATTCGATTTTCAACAGTAGGCCTCACAGCGCTCCAAATATCCACTTGCAGATTTTACAAAAAGAGAGATTTGAAACTCTTCAACCAAAAGATAAGTTCAACTCTGTGAATTGAATGCACACATTATGAAGAAGTTTCTGAGAATGCTTCTGTGTTGTTTTTATTTGAAGATATTTCCTTTTCCATCATAGAACCCAAAGGGCTCCAAATATCCACTTGCAGATTCTACAAAAAGAGAGATTCAAAACTGCTCAATCAAAAGATAGGTTCAACTCTGTGTATTGAATGCACACATCCCAAAGAAGTTTCTCACAATGCTTCTGAGTAGTTTTTATGTGAAGATATTTCCTTTTCCACAATATGCCTCAAAGGGATCCAAATATCCACTTGCAATTTTTCCAAAAAGAGTGTTTCAAAACTGCTCAAAGAAAAGAAAGGTTCAACACTGTGAGACGAATGCACACATGACAAAGAAGTTTCTCAGAATGCTTCTGTGTAGTTTTTATGTGAAGATATTTCCTTTTCCCAATAGGCCTCAAAGGGATCCAAATATCCACTTGCAGATTCTACAAAAAGAGAGATTCAAAACTGCCCAATCAAAAGATAGGTTCAACTCTGTGATTTCAATGCACACATCACAAAGAAGTTTCTCAGAATTGCTTCTTTATAGTTTTTATGTGAAGATATTTGCTTTTCCACGGTAGGCCTCAAAGAGCTCCAAATATCCACTTGCAGATTCTACAAAAGAGTGTTTCAAAACTGCTCAATCATAAGGTAGGTTCAACCCTGTGAGATGAATGCACACATCCCTAAGAAGTTTCTCAGAATGTTTCTGTGTAGTTTTTATCTGAAGATATTTCATTTTTCACAATAGGCCACAAAGGGCTCCAAATATCCCCTTGCAGATTCTGTAAAAACAGTGTTTCAAAACTGCTAAATCAAAAGAAAGGTCCAACTCTGTGAGATGAATGCACGCATCAAAAATAAGTTTCTCAGAATGCTTCTGTGTAGCTTCTATTTTAATATATTTGCTTTTCCATGGTAGGCCCCAAGGTGCTCCAAACATCCACCTGCAGATCCTGCAAAAAGAGAGATTAAAAATTGCTCAATCAAAATATAGGTTCAACTCTGTTAGATGAATGCCGACATCACAAAGAAGTTTCTGAGAATGCTTCTGTGTATTATTTATCTGAAGATATTTGCCTTTCCACATTGGGACTCAAGGTGCTCCAAATATCCACCTGCAGATTCTGCAAAAAGAGTTTTTCCAAATTTCTCAATGATAAGATACCTTCAAAACTGTGAAATGAATGCAGTCATCACAAAGTAGTTTCTCAGAATCTTCCTGTGTAGTTTTTATGTGAAGATATTTCCTTTTCCACCATTGGGTGAAAAGGGCTCCAAATATCCACTTGCAGATTCTGCAAAAGAGAGATTGAAAACTGCTCAATCAAAAGATAGGTTCATCTCTGAGAGTTGAAGGCACACAACCCAAAGAAGTTTCTCAGAATGCTTCTGTGCAGTTTTTATGTGAAGATATTTGGTTTTCCACAGTAGGTCTCTAAGGGCTCCAAATATCCAACTGCAGATTCTGCAAAAAGAGAAATTCGAAACTTATCAATCAAAAGATATGTTCAACTCTGAGAGCTGAAGGCACACAACCCAAAGAAGTTTCTCAGAATGCTTCTGTGCAGTTTTTATGTGAAGATATTTGCTTTTCCACAGTAGATCTCTAAGGGCTCAAAATATCCAACTGCAGATTCTGCAAAAAGAGAGATTCGAAACTTATCAATCAAAATATATGTTCAACTCTGTGAGGTGAATGCATACATCACAAAGAAGATTCTCTCAATGCTTCTGTCTAGTTTATCCTTGAAGACATTCCCTTTTCCACCATAGGTCACAAAGGGCTACAAATATGCACTTGCAGATTCTGCAAAAAGAGAGATTCAAAACTGCTCAATGAGAAGATAAGTTCAACACTGTGAGTGGAATGCACACATCCCAAAGAAGTTTCTCAGAATGCTTCTGTGTAGTTTTTATATGAACATATTTGATTTTCCACAGTAGGCCTCACAGCACTCCAAGTATCCAAGTGCAGAGTCTACAAAAAGAGAGATTCATAACTGCTCAATCTAAAGATAGTTTCAAGTCTGTGAGTTGAATGCACACATTATGAAGAAGTTTCTGAGAATGGTTCAGTGTAGTTGGTGTATAAGAATGCTTGTGATTTTTGTACATTGATTTTGTATCCTGAGACTTTGCTGAAGTTGCTTATCAGCTTAAGGAGAGTTTTTATGTGAAGATATTTGTCTTTCCATGGTAGGCCACAAAGCTCTCCACATATCCTCTTACAGATTCTACAAAAAGAGTATTTCAAAACTGCTCAATCATAAGATAGGTTCAAGCCTATCAGATGATTGCACACATCACAAAGAACTTTCTCAGAATATTTCTGTGTAGTTTTTATGTGAAGATATTTCCTTTTCCCATTAGGTCTCAAAGAGCTCCAAATATCCACTTGTAGATTCTACAGAAAGACTGTTTCAAAACTGCTCAAACAAAAGAAAGGTTCAAATCTGTGAGATGAATGCACACATCACAAATAAGTGTCTCAGAATGCTTCTGTGTAGTTTTAATCTGAAGATATTTGCTTTTCCACGGTAGGCTTCAAAGTGCTCCAAATATTTACTTGCAGATTCTACAAATGAGAGATTATAACCTGTTCAATCAAAAGATATGTTCAACTCTGTGTGTTTAATGCACACATCACAACGAAGTTTTTCACAATGCTTCTGTGTAGTTTTTATGTGAAGATATTTCCTTTTCCACATTAGGCCTCAAAGGTCTCCAACTATCCACTTGCAGATTCTACAAAAAGAGTGCGTCAAAACTGCTAAATCAAAAGAAAGGTTCAACTCTGTGAGGTGAATGAACACATCAAAAAGAAGTTTCTCCGAATGCTTCTGTGTAGTTTTTCTCTGAAGATATTTCCTTTTCCACAATAGGCCTTAATAGACTCCAAATATCCACTTGCAGATTCTCCAAAAAGAGTATTTCAAATCTGCTCTATCAAAAGAAAGGTTAAACTCTGTGAGTTGAATGCACTCATCACAAAGAAGTTTCTGAGAATGCTTTTGTCTAGTTTTTACGTGTAGATATTTCCTTTTCTAACATAGGCCTTAAAGGGAACCAATTACCCACTTGCAGAGTCTACAAAAAGAGTGTTCCAAATTGCTCTATGAAAAGAAAGGTTCAACTCTGTGAGTTGAATGCACACATCATGAAGAAGTTTCGGAGAATGCTTGTGTCTACTATTTATGTGTAGAAATTCCCTTTTCCACCATAGACCTCTAAAGGCTCCAATTACCCCCTTGCAGATTCTACAAAATGTTTGTTTCAAAACTACAGTATCAAAAGATGGGTTCAACTCTGTGAGTTGAATGCACACATCACAAAGAAATTTCTGAGAATGCTTCTGTCTAGTTTTTATGTGAAGATATTTCCTTTTTCACCATAGGCTTCAAATCTGTCCAAATATCCAATTGCAGATTCTACAGAAAGAGTGTTTCAAAGCTGCTCTATCAAAAGAAAGGCCCGACACTGTGAGTTGAATGCACACATCGCAAAGAAGTTTCTTAGAATGCTTCTGTATCGTGTTTATATGAAGACATTCCTTTTCCACCATAGGCCTCAAAACGCTCCAAATATCTATTTGCAGATTCTACAAAAAGAGTGTTTCAAAACTGGTCTATCAAAAGAAAGGTTCAACTCTGTGAGCTAAATGCACACATTACAAAGAAGTATCTGAGAATGCTTCTGTCTAGTTTTTATGTCAAGATATTTCCTTTTCCACCATAGGCCTCAAAGCACTCCAAATATCCAATTACAGATACTACAAAAACAGTGTTTCAAATCTGCTGTATCAAAAGAAAGGTTAAACTCTGTGAGTTGAATGCACACATCACAAAGAAGTTTCTGAGAATGCTTCTGTCTAGTTTTTATATCAAGATATTTCCTTTTCCACCATAGGCCTCAAAGGGCTCCAAATATCCACTTGCAGATTCTGCAAAAACAGTGTTTCAAAACTGCTCTATCAAAAGAAAGGTTCAACTCTGTGAGTTGAATGCACGCATTACAAAGAAGTATGTGAGAATGCTTCTGTCTATATTTTATGTCAAGATATTTTCTTTTCCACCATAGGCCTCAAAGCGCTCCAAATATCCACTTGCAGATTCTACAAAAGAGTGTTTCAAAACTGGTCTATCAAAAGAAAGGTTAAACTCTATGAGTTGAATGCACACAACACGAAGAAGTTTCTGAGAAATCTTTCTAGTTTTTATGTGAAGGTATTTCCTTTTCCAACATAGTCCTCAATGGGAACCAAATATCCACTTGCAGATTCTACAAAAAGAGTGTTTGAAAACAGCTGTATCAAAAGAAACGTTCAACTCTGTGAGTTGAATGCACACATCACAAAGACGTTTCTGAGATTGCTTCTGTCTAGTTTTTAAGTGAAGATATTTCATTTTCCAACATAGACTTCACAGGGAACCAAGTATCCACCTGCAGATTCTACAAAAAGAGTGTTTCAAACTGCTCTATCAAAAGAAAGGTTCAACTCTGTGAGTTGAATGCACACATCACAAAGAAGTTTCTGAGAATGATTCTGTCTAGTGATTATGTGAAGATAATTTATTTTCCACCATAGGCCTCAAAGCGCTCAAAATATCCATTTGCAGACTCTACAAAAAGAGTGTTTCAAAACAGCTCTATGAAAAGAAAGTTTCAACTCTGAAAGTTGAATGCGCACATCACAAAGGAGTTTCTGAGAATGCTTCTGTCTAGTTTTTATGTGAAGATATTTGCTTTTCCACAGTAGGCCACTAAGCACTCCAAATATCCACTTACAGATTCTCCAAAAAGAGTGTTTCTAAACTGCTCAATCATAAGATAGGTTCAGCACTTTGAGAAGAATGCACACATCACGTAGATGTTTCTCAGAATGTTTCTGTGTAGTATTTATTTGAAGATAATTCCTTTTCCACCATAGGCCCCAAAGGGCTCCAAATATCCACTTGCAGATTCTGCAGAAAGGGAGATTCAAACCTGCTCAATCAAAAGATAGGATCAACTCTGTGAGTTGAATGCACACATACTAAAGAAGTTTCTCAGAATTCTTCTGTGTAGTTTTTATGTGAAGATATTTGCTTTTCCACATTAGGTTTCAAAGAGCTCCAAATATCCACCTGCAGATTCTGCAAAAAGAGACATTCAAAACTGCTCAATCAAAAGATAAGTTCAACTCTGTGAGTTGAATGCATTCATCACGAGGAAGTTTCTGCGAATGCTTCTGTGTAGTTTTTATTTGGAGATATTTCGTTTTCCACGATAGGCCACAAAGGGCTCCAATTATGCACTTGCAGATTCTACAAAAAGAGACATTAAAAACTGCTCAGTGCGAAGATAAGTTCAACTCTGTGAGCTGAATGCACACCTCACAAAGAGGTTTCTCAGAATGCTTCTGTGTAGTTCTCTTGTGAAGATATTTCCTTTTCAACAATAGCCCTCAAAGCTCTCCCAGCATACACTTCCAGATTCTGCAAAAAGAGAGATTCAAAACTGCTCAATCAAAAGTAAGTTTCAACTCTGTGAGTTGAATGCAGACATCATGAAGAAGTTTCTGAGAATGCTTCTGTGTAGTTTTTATTTGAAGATATTTCTTTTTCCACCATAGGACACCAAGGGTTCCTAATATCCACTTGCAGATTTTCCAAAAGAGAGATTCAAAATTGCTCAAGCAAAAGTTAGGTTCAACTCTGTGAGATGAATGCACACATTTTAAAGAAGTTTCTCAGAATGCTTCTGTGTAGTTTTTATGTGAAGATATTTCCTTTTCCACAACAGGCCTCAAAGGGCTCCAAATATCCACTCGCAGATTCTACACAAAGAGTGGTTCAAAGCTGCTTAATCAATAGAAAGGTTCAACTCTGTGAGAGGAATGAGCACATCACAAAGATGTTTCTCAGAATGCTTCCGTGTAGTTTTTATTTTTTTATTTTTTATATTATTTGTTTATTTATTTATTTATTTACATATTTGATTTTTGTTATACTTTAAGTTTTAGGGTACATGTGTACAATGTGCAGGTTAGTTACATATGTATACATGTGCCATTCTGGTTCGCTGCACCCAATAACTCGTCATCTAGCATTAGTTATATCTCACAATGCTATCCCACACCCTCCCCCCATTCCACAACCATCCCCAGAGTGTGATGTTCCCCTTCCTGTGTCCATATGTTCTCATTGTTCAATTCTCACCTATAAGTGAGAATATGCGGTCTTTGGTTTTTTGTTCTTGTGATAGTTTACTGAGAATGATGATTTCCAATTTCACGCATGTTCCTACAAAGGACATGAACTCATCATTTTTTATGGCTGCGTAGTATTCCATGGTGTATAGGTGCCACATATTCTTAATCGTCTATCATTATTGGACATTTGGGTTGGTCCAAATCTTTGCTATTGTGAATAGTGCCACAATAAACATATGTGTGCATGTGTCCTTATAGCAGCATGATTTATAGTCCTTTGGGTATATACCCAGTAATGGGATGGCTGGGTCAAATGGTATTTCTAGTTCTAGATCCCTAAGGAATCGCCACACGGACTTCCACAATGGTTGAACTAGTTTACAGTCTTACAAACAGTGTAAAATTGTTTCTTTTTCTCCACATCCTCTCCAGGACCTATTGTTTCCTGACTTTTTAATAATTGCCATTCTAACAGTGTGAGATGATATCTCATTGTGGTTTTGATTTGCATTTCTCTGATGGCCAGTGATGGTGAGCATCTTTTCACGTGTTTTTTGGCTGCATAAATGTCTTCTTTTGAGAAGTGTCTGTTCATGTCCTTTGCCCACTTTTTGATGGGGTTGTTTGTTTTTTTCTTGTAAATTTGTTTGAGTTCATTGTAGATTCTGGATATTAGCCCTTTGTCAGATGAGTAGGTTGGGAAAATTTTCTCCCATTTTATGGGTTGTCTCTTCACTCTGATGATAGTTTCTTTTGCTGTGCAGAAGCTCTTTAGTTTAATTACATCCCATTTGTCAATTTTGGTTTTTGTTGTCATTGCTTTTGGTGTTTTAGACATGAAGTCCTTGCCCATGCCTATGTCCTGAATGGTAATGCCTAGGTTTTCTTCTAGGGTTTTTATGGCTTTAGGTCTAACGTTTAAGTCTTTAATCCATCTTGAATTGATGAACATTGATGCAAAAATCCTCAATAACATACTGGCAAACCGAATCCAGCAGTACATCAAAAAGCTTATCCAACATGATCAAGTGGGCTTCATCCCTGGGATGCAAGGCTGGTTCAATATATGCAAATCAATAAATGTAATCCAGCATATAAACAGAACCAAAGACAAGAACCACATGATTATCTCAATAGATGCAGAAAAGGCCTTTGACAAAATTCAACAACGCTTCATGCTAAAAACTCTCAATAAATTAGGTATTGATGGGATGTATCTCAAAATAATAAGAGCTCTCTATGACAAACCCACAGCCAATATCATACTGAATGGGCAAAAACTGGAGGCATTCCCTTTGAAAACTGGCACAAGACAGGGTTGCCCTCTCTCACCAGTCCTACTCAACATAGTGTTGGAAGTTCTGGCCAGGGCAATTAGGCAGGAGAAGGAAATAAGGGGTATTCAATTAGGAAAAGAGGAAGTCGAATTGTCCCTGTTTGCAGACGACATGGTTGCATATCTAGAAAACCCCATTGTCTCAGCCCAAAATCTCCTTAAGCTGATAAGCAACTTCAGCAAAGTCTCAGGATACAAAATCAAAGTACAAAAATCACAAGCATTCCTATACAACAATAACAGAAAAAGAGCCAAATCACGAGTGAAATCCCTTTCACAATTGCTTCAAAGAGAATAAAATACCTAGGAATCCAACTTGCAAGGGACGTGAAGGACCTCTTCAAGGAGAACTACAAACCACTGCTCAATGAAATAAAAGAGGATACAAACAAATGGAAGAACATTGCACGATCGTGGGTAGGAAGAATCAATATCATGAAAATGGCCATACTGCCCAAGGTAATTTATAGATTCAATGCCATCCCCATCAAGCTGCCAATGACTTTCTTCACAGAATTGGAAAAAACTAATTTAATGTTCATAAGGAACCAAAAAAGAGCCCCCATCACCAAGTCAATACTAAGCCAAAAGGACAAAGCTGGAGGCATCACACTACCTGACTTCAAACTGTACTACAAGACAACAGTAACCAAAACAGCATGGTACTGGTACCAAAACAGAGATATAGATCAATGGAACAGAACAGAGCCCTCAGAAATAATGCCGCAGAACTACAACTATCTGATCTTTCACAAACCCGAGAAAAACAAGCAATGGGGAAAGGATTCCCTATTTAATAAATGTTGCTGGGAAAACTGGCTAGCCATATGTAAAAAGCTGAAACTGGATCCCTTCCTTACACCTTATACGAAAATCAATTCTGTGTAGTTTTTATCTGAAGATATTTGCTTTTCCACGTTACGCCTCAAAACGCTCCAAATATCCACTTGCAGATTCTAAAAAAAGAGTGTTTCAAAACTGCTCAATCAAAAGATAGGTTCAAACCTGTGAGATGAATGCACACATCAAAAGAAGTTTCTCAGAATGTTTCTCTGTAGTTTTTAATTGAAGATATTTCCTTTTCAACCATAGGCAACAAAGGGCTCCAAATATCCACTTGCAGATTCTGCAAAAAGAGAGATTCAAAACTGCCTCAATCAAAAGACAGGTTCAAACCTGTGAGTTGAATGCACACATCCCAAAGAAGTTTCTCAGAATGTTTCTGTGTAGTTTTTATGTGAAGTTATTTGCTTTCCACAGTGGGCCACAAAGAGCTCCAAATGTCCACCTGCAGATTCTGCAAAAAGAGAGATTCAAAACTGCTCAATGAAAAGATAGGTTGAACTCTGTGAGTTGAATGCACACATCACAAAGAAATTTCTCTGAATGCTACTGTGTAGTTTTTATTTGAAGACATTTCCTTTTCCACCATAGGGTGCAAAGGGCTCCAAATATCCACTTGCAGATTCTACAAAAAGAGAGATTCAAACTGCTCAATCGAAAGAAAGGTTCAACTCTGGTAGGTGAATGCACACATCACAAAGAAGTTGCCCAGAATGCTTCTGAGTAGCTTTTATGAGAAGATATTCCCTTTTCCACAATAGGCCTCAAAGGGATCCAATTATCCTCTTGCAGATTTTACAAAAATAGTGTTTCAAAACTGCTCCATCAAAAGAAAGGTTCCACTCTGTGATATGAATGCACACATCACACAGAAGTTTCTCAGAATGATTCTGTGTAGTTTTTATGTGAAGATATTTCCTTTTCCACAATAGGCTTCAAAGGGCTCCAATTATCCACTTGCAGATTGTCCAAAAAGAGTGTTTCAAAACTGCTCAATCAAAAGAAAGTTTCAACTCTGTGAGATGAACACACACAACAAAAAGAAGTTTCTTAGAATGCTTCAGTGTAGTTTTAATCTGAAGATATTTGTTTTACCACGGTAGGCCTCGAAGCGCTCCAAATATCCACTTGCAGATTCTACAAAAAGAGAGATTCTAAACTGGTCAATCAAAAGATAGGATCAACTCTGTGTGTTGAATGCACACATAACAAAGAAGTTGCTCAGAATGCTTCTGAGTAGCTTTTATGAGAAGTTATTCCCTTTTCCACAATAGGCCTCAAAGGGATCCAATTATCCCCTTGCAGATTTTACAAAAACAGTGTTTCAGAACTGCTCAATCAAAAGAAAGGTTCCACTCTGTGAGATGAATGTACACATCACACAGAAGTTTCTCAGAATGATTCGGTGTAGTTTTTATGTGAAGATATTTCCTTTCCCACAATAGGCTTCAAAGGGCTCCAATTATCCACTTGCAGATTCTACAAAAAGAGAGATTCTAAACTGCTCAATCAAAAGATAGGATCAACTCTGTGTGTTGAATGCACACATCACAAAGAAGTAGCTAAGAATGCTTCTGAGTAGCTTTTATGAGAAGATATTTCCTTTTCCACATTAGGCCTCAAAGGTCTCCAACTATCCTCTTGCAGATTCTACAAAAATATTGTTTCAAAACTGCTCAGTCAAAAGAAAGTTTCAAATCTGTGAGATGAATGCACACATCACAAAGAAGTTTCTGAGAATGCTTCTGTGTAGTTTTTATGTGAAGATATTTCCTTTTCCCAATAGGTCTCAAAGGGCTACTAATATCCACTTGCAAATTCTACAAAAAAACTGTTCAAAACTGCTCAATCAAAAGAAAGGTTCAACTCTGTGAGATGAATGCACACCTCACAAAGAAGTTTCTCAGAATGCTTCTGTGTAGTTTTTATCTGGAGATATTTGCTTTTCCAAGGTAGGCCTCAAAGCGCTCCAAATATCCACTTGCAGATTCTACAAAAAGAGAGATTCTAAGCTGCTCAATCAAAAGACAGGTTCAACTGTCTGTGTTGAATGCACACATCACAAAGAAGTTTCTCAGAATGCTTCTGTGTAGTTTTTATATGAAGATATTTCCTTTTCCACATTAGACCACAATGCTATCCAACTATCCACTTGCAGATTCCACAAAAATAGTGTTTCAAAACTGTTCAATCAAAAGAAATGTTCAACTCCGTGAGATGAATGCACACATCACATAGAAGTTTCTGAGAATGCTTCTGTCTAGTTTTTATGTGAATATATTTCCTTTTCCCAATAGGTCTCAAAGGGTTCCAAATATCCACTTGCAGATTTTACAAAAAGACTGTTTAAAAACTGCTCAATCAAAAGAAAGGTTCAACTCTGTGAGATGAATACACACACCACAAAGAAGTTTCTCAGAATGCTTCTGTGTATTTTTTATCTGAAGATATTCGCTTTTCCACGGTAGGCCTCAAAGTGCTAAAGTTATCCACTTGCAGATTCTACAAAAGAGTGTTTCAAAACTGCTCAATCATAAGATAGGTTCAACTCTGAGAGATGAATGCACACATCACAAAGAAGCTGCTGAGCATGCTTCTGTGTAGTTTTTATGTGAACATATTCGATTTTCTACAGTAGGCCTCACAGCACTCCAAATATCCACTTGCAGATTCTACAAAAAGAGAGATTCAAAACTCTTCAATCAAAAGATATGTTCAACTCTGTGAGTTGAATAAACACATCACAAAGAAGTTTCTGAGAATGCCTCTGTGTAGTTTTTATTTGAAGATATTTCCTTTCCCACCATAGAGCACAAAGGGTTCCAAATATCCATTTTCAGATTCCACAAAAAGTGAAATACAAATCTGCTCAATCAAAAGATAGGTTCAACTCTGTGTATTGAATGCACACATCACAAAGAAGTTTTTCAGTATGCTTCTGACTAGTTTTTATGTGAAGATATATCCTTTTCTACAACAAGACTCAAAGGGCTCCAATTATCCACTTGCAGATTCTACAAAAAGAGTGTTTCAAAACTGCTCAATCAAAAGAAATTTTCAACTCTCTGAGATGAATGGACACATCACAAAGCAGTTTTTTAGAAAGTTTCTGTTTAGTTTTTATGTGAAGATATTTCCTTTTCCACCATAGGCTGCAAAGGGCTCCAAATATCCACTTGTAGATTCTGCACAAAGAGAGATTCAAAACTGCTCAATCAAAAGACAGGTTCAACTCTGTCAGTTGAATGCACACATCCCAAAGAAGTTTCTCAGAAAGTTTCTGTGTACTTTTCCTATGAAGTTATTTGCTTTTCCACAGTAGGCCTCAAAGAGCTCCAAATATCCACCTGCAGATTCTGCAAAAAGAGAGATTCAAAGCTCCTCAATGTAAAGAGAAGTTCAACTCTGTCAGTTGAATGCAGACATCAGGAAGAAATTTCTCTGAATGCTTCTCTGTAGTTTTTATTTGAAGATACTTCCTTTTCCACCAAAATGTTCAAAGGGCTCCAAATATCCACTTGCAGATTCTACAAAAGGGAGATTCAAAACTGTTTAATGAGAAGATAAGTTCAACTCTGTGAGTTCAATGGACACCTCACAAAGAAGTTTTTCAGAATCATTCTGTGAATTTCTTATGTGAAGATATTTCCTTTCCACAATAGGACTCAAAGCTCTCGAAACATCTACTTGCAGATACTGCAAAAAGTGAGATTCAAAACTGCACAATCAAAAGATAGGTTGAACTCTGTGAGTTGAATGCACACATCATGAAGACGATTCTGAGAATGCTTCTGGGTAGTTTTTATTTGAAGATATTTCCTTTTCCACCACAGGTCGAAAAGGGCTCCACATATCCACGTGCAGATTCTACACAAAGGGAGATTCAGCAATGCTCAATGAGAAGATAAGGTCAACTCTGTGAGTTGAATGCACACCTCATAAATAACTTTCTCAGAATGCTTCCGTGTAGTTTTAATGTGAAGGTATTTCCTTTTTGCACAATAGGCCTCAAAGCTCTCCAAATATCCACTTTCACATCCTGCAAAAAGTTAGCTTAAAAACTCCTCAATCAAAAGATAGTTTCAACTCTGTGAATTGAATACACACATCAGAAAGAAGTTTCTCAATATGTTTCTGAGTAGTTTTTACGTGAACATATTCAATGTTCCACAGTAGGCCTCACAGCACTTCAAAAATCCAATTGCAGATACTACAAAAAGAGAGATTCAAAACTGTTCCATCAAAAGATAGGTTGAAACCTCTGAGTTGAATGCACACATCACGATGAAGTTTCTTGGAAAGCTTCTGTGTAGTTTTTATTTGAAGATATTGCGTTTTCTACAATAGGGT
Source organism: Homo sapiens (assembly GCF_000001405.40). NCBI lineage: Eukaryota > Metazoa > Chordata > Mammalia > Primates > Hominidae > Homo > Homo sapiens. The sequence continues at coordinate 36,023,143 of NC_000016.10, read as the reverse complement.
GCAACGGGCTCCAAATATCCACTTTCAGAATCTACAAAAACAGAGATTCTAAACTGCTTAATCAAAAGATAATTTCAACTCTGTGAATTGAATGCACACATCACAAAGAATTTTCTGAGAATACTTCTTTATAGTTTTTACGTGAAAATATTTCGTTTTCCAACATAGGTCACAAAGGGAACCAAATATCCACGTGCAGATTCTATACAAAAAGTGTTTCAAAACTGACCTATTGAAAGAATGGTTCAATTCTGAGAGTTGAAGTTACACACCAAAAGGAAGTTTCTGAAAATGCTTCTGTCTAGATTTAAAGTGAAGATAATTCCTTTTCCAACATAGGCCTCAAAGCGCTCCAAATATCCACTTGCAGATACTACAAAAATAATGTTTCAAAACTGCACTATCAAAAGAAAGGTTCAACTCTGTGACTTGAATACACACATCACAAAGAATTCTCTGAGAATGCTTCTGTCTAGTTTTTATGTGAAGATACTTCGCTTTCCAACATAGGCCTCAACGGGAACAAAATATCCTCTTGCAGTTTCTACAAAAAGAGTGTTTCAAAACCCCGCTGTATCAGAAGAAACGTTTAATTCTGTCAGTTGAATGCACGGGTCACAAAGAAATTTCTGAGAATGCTTCTGCCTAGCTTTTATGTCAAGATATTGCTTTTTCCACAATAGGCCTGAAAGCGCTCCAAATATCCACTTGCAGATTTTACAAAAAGAGTGTTTCAGAAATGCTCTATCAAAAGAAAGGTACACCTCTGTGAGTTGAATGCACACATCATAAAGAAATTTTTGAGAATGCTTCTGTCTAGTTTTTTTGTGAAGATATTTCATTTTCCAACATAGGCTTCAAAGGGAAGAAAATATGCACTTGTAGATTCTACAAAAAGAGTGTTTCAAAACTACTCTACCAAAAGAAAAGTTCACCTCTGTGAATTGAATGCACACATCACAAAGAAGTTTCTGAGAATTTTTCTGTCTAGTTTTAAAGTGAAGATATTTCGTTTCCTAATATAGGCCTCAAAGTGATCAAAATATCGACTTGCAGATTCTACAGAAAGAGTGTTTCAAAACTGCTCTATCAAAAGAAAGGTTCAACTCTGTGAGTTGAATGCACACATCACAAAGAAATTTCGGAGAATGCTTCTGTCTAGTTTTTGTGAAGATATCCCTTTATCCAAAATAGGCCACAAAGAGAACAAAATATCCACTTGTAGATTCTGCAAAAAGAGTGTTTCAAATCTCCTCCATCAAAAGAAAAGTTCAATCCTGTGAGATGAATGCACACGTCACAAAGAAGTTTCGGAGAATGCTTCTGTCTGGTTTTTATGTGAAGATATTTCCTTTTCCACCATAGACCTCAAAGCTTTCCAAATATCCACTTGCAGATTCTACAAAAAGAGAGTTTCAAACTTGCTCTATCAAAAGAAAAGTTCAACTTTGTGAGTTGAATGCACACATCACAAAGTAGTTTCTGAGAAAGCTCCTGTCTAGTATTTATGTGAAGATATTTCGTTTTCCAACACAGGCCTCAAAGCACTCCAAATATCCACTTGCAGACTCTACAAAAAGAGTGTTTCAAAACTGCTCTACAAAAGAAAGGTTCAACTCTGTGATTGGAATGCACACATCACAACGAAGTTTCTGAGAATGCTTCTGTCTAGTTTTTATATGAAGATATTTCGTTTTCCAACATAGACCTCAAGGGAATCACATATCCACTTGCAGATACTACCAAAAGAGCGTTTCAAAATTCCTCTATGAAAATAAAGTTCAACACTGTGAGTTGAATGCACACATCACAAAGAAGTCTCTGAGAATGCTTCTGTGTAGTTTTTGGAGAAGATATTTCGTTTTCCAACATAGGCCTCAAAGGGAACCACATATGCAATTACAGATTCTACAAAAAGAGTATTTCAAAACCTGCTCTATCAAAAGAAGTGTACAACTCTGTCAGTTGAATGCACACATCACAATGAAGTTTCTGAGAATGCTTCTATCTCGTTTTAATGTGAAGATTTTTCTTTTCCACCACAGGCCTCATAGACGTAAAAATATCCACTTGCAGATTCTACAAAAGGAGTGTTTCAAAACTGCTCTATCAAAAGAAGGTTCAACTCTGTGAGTTGAATGCACACATCACAACAAAGTTTCTGAGAATGCTTCTGTTTATTTCTTATGCAAAGATATTTCGTGTTCCAACATATGCCTCGAAGGGAACCGCATATCCACCAACAGATTCTTCAAAAAGAGTGTTTCAAATCTGCTCTATAAAAAGAAGAGTACATCTCTGTGAGTTGAACGCACATATCACAAAGAAGTTTCTGAGAATGCCCCTGTTAATTTTTTACATGAACTTATTTCCTTTTCCACCACAGACCTCAAAGCGGTCCATATATTCACTTGCAGATATTACAAAAATAGGGTTTGAAAACTGCTCTATCAAAAGAAAGGTTTAAATCTGCGAGCTGAATGCCCACATCAGAAAGATGTTTATGAGAATGCTTCTGTCTAGTTTTTATATGCATCGATTTCCTTTTCCAACATTCGCCTGAAAGTGCTCCAAATATCTGTTTGCAGATTCTACAAAAAGAGTGTTTCAAATTGCTCGGTCAAAAGAAAGGTTCAACTCTGTGAGTTGAATGCGCACATCACAAAGGAGTTTCTGAGAATGCTTCTGTCTAGTTTTCATGTGAAGATATTTAGTTTTCCACCATAGGCCTCAAAGGGATACAAATATCTACTTACAGATTCTACAAATAGAGTGTTTCAAAACTGCTCTATCGAAAGAAAGGATCAACTCGGTAAGATGAATGCAAACGTCACAAAGAAGTTTCCGAGAGTGCTTCTGGCTAGTTTTAATGTTTAGTTATTTCCCTTTCCACCATAAGCCTCAAAACGCTCCAAATGTCCACTTGCAGATTCTACAAAAAGAGTGTTTCAAACTGCTCTGTCAATAGAAAGGTTCAACTCTGTGAGTTGAATGCACACATCACAAAGATGTTTCTGAGAATTCTTCTGTCTATTTTCTATGTGAAGACATTCCGTTTTCCAACACAGGCCTCAAAGGGAACAAAGTATCCACTTGCAGATTCTACAAAACCAGTGTTTCACAACTGCTCTATCAAAAGAAAGGATCAATTCGGTAAGTTGAATGCAAACATCACAGAGAAGTTTCCGAGAGGGCTTCTGTCTAGTTTTAATGTTTAGTTATTTCCTTTTCCACCATAAGCCTCAAAACGCTCCAAATGTCCACTTGCAGATTCTACAAAAAGAGTGTTTCAAACTGTTCTATCAATAGAGAGTTTCAATTCCGTGAGTTGATTGCACACATCACAAAGATGTTTTTGAGAATTCTTCTGTCTAGTTTTTATGTGAAGACATTTCGTTTTCCAACACAGGCCTCAAAGGGAGCAAAATATCCACTTACATAGTCTACAAAACGAGTGTTTCACAGCTGCTCTATCAAAAGAAACGTTTTACACTGTGACTTGAGTGCACACATCACAAAGAAGTTTCTGAGAATGCTTCTGTCTAGTTTTTATGTGAAGATATTTCGTTTTCCACCATAAGCCTCAAAGCGCTCCAAATATCCACTTTCAGATTCTACAAAAAGAGTGTTTCCAAACTGTTCTACCTAAAGAAATGCTCAACTCTGTGAGTGTAATAGACACAACAAAAAACAGTTTCGGAGAATGCTTCTGTTTAGTTTTTATGTGAAGATATTTCCTCTCCCACCAGAGGTCTCAAAGCGCACGAAATATCCACTTGCAGATTCTACAAAAAGACTGTTTCAAAACTGCTCTACAAAAGAAAGGTTCAACTCTGTGAGTTGAAGGCACACATCACAAATAAGTTTTTGAGAATGCTTCTGTCTAGTTTTTCTGTGAAGATATTTCATTTTCCAACACTGACCTCAGAGGGAACAAAATATCCACTTGCGAATTATACAAAAAGAGTGTTTCACAACTGTTCTATCATAAGAAAAGTTCAACTCTGTGATTCGAATGCACATCACAAAGAAGTTTCTTAGAATGCTTCTGTCTATTTTTTATGTGAAGATATTTCCTTTCCCAACATAGACCTCAACGGGAACAAAATATCCATTGGTAGTTTCTAAAAAAAGAGTGTTTCAAAACTGCTCTATCAAAAGAAAGGTTTAAATCTGCGAGTTGAATGCCCACATCCGAAAGATGTTTCTGAGAATGCTTCTGTCTAGTTTTTGTGTGAAGATATTTCCTTTTCAAGCATAGGCCTCAAAGCACTGCCAATGTCCGCTTGCAGATTCTACAAAAACAGTGTTTCAAAACGGCTCTATCAAAAGAGAGCTTCAACTCTGTGAGTTGAATGCACGTATCACAAAGTATTTTCTGAGAGTGCTTCCATGCAGTTTTAAAATGAAGATATTTCCTCTTCCACCATAGGCCTCAAAGCGCTTCAAATATCCATTTGCAGATTGCACAAAAAGCGTGTTTCATAACTGCGCAAACAAGGAAAGTTTCAACTCTGTGAGTTGAATGCACACTTCACAAAGAAGTTTCTGAGAATGCTTCTATCGAGTTTTTATGTAAAGATATTTCGTTTTCCAACAGAGGCCTCAAAGGGAAACAAATATCCACTTGAAGATTCTTCAAAAGGAGTGTAACAAATCTGCTCTCTGAAATGAAAGGTTCAACTCTGTGAGTTGAATGCACACATCACAAAGAAGTTTCTGAGAATGATTCTGTCTAGTTTTTATGTGTAGATGTTTCCTTTTCCACCATAGGCTTCAAAGCGCTCAAAATGTCCACATGCAGATTCTGCAAAAGGAGTGTTTCAAAACTGCTCTATCAAAAGAAAGGTTCAACGCTGTGAGGTGAATGCACACATCAAAATGAAGTTTCTGAGAATGCTTCTGTCTATTTCTTATGTAAAGATATTTCATTTTTCAACATATGCCTCAAAGGGAACTGCATATCCACCTATAGATCCTTCAAAAAGAGTATTTCAAATCTGCTCTATCTAAAGAAGTGTACATCTCTGTGAGTTGAATGCACACATCTCAAAGAAGTTTCTGAGAATGCTTCATTCTACTTTTTACCTGAAGATATTTCTTTTTCCACCATAGGCCTCAAAGCGCTCCATATATCCACTTGCAGATTTTAAAAAACGAGAGTTTTCAAACTGCTCTATCAAAAAAAGCGTTCAACACTGTGAGTTGAATGCACATATCACAAAGAAGTCTCAGAAAAATGTTGTCTAGTTTTTATGTGAAGATATATCCTTTTCCACCGTAGGCCTCAAAGCCCTCAAATATCCCCTGCAAATTCTACAAAAAGACTGTTTCAAAACTGCGCTATCAAAAGAAAGGTTCAACCCTGTGAGTTCCATGCACAAATCACGAAGTAGTTTCTGAGAATGATTCTGTCTAATTTTTATTGAAACATATTTCCTTTTGCACCAAAGACCTCAAAGCACTCCAAATATCCACTTGCAGATACTACAGAAATAATGTTTCAAAACTGCACTATCAAAAGAAAGGTTCAACTCCGTGACTTGAATGCACACATCACAAAGAATTCTCTGAGAATGCTTCTGTCTAGTTTTGATGTGAAGATATTTCGCTTTCCAACATAGGCCTCAACGGGAACAAAATAGCCACTTGCAGTTTCTACAAAAAGAGGGTTTCAAAACCCCGCTCTCTCAGAAGAAATGTTTAATTCTGTGAGTTGAATGCACGGATCACAAAGAAATTTCTGAGAATGCTTCTGTCTAGCTTTTATGTCAAGATATTGCTTTTTCCACAATAGGCCTGAAAGCGCTCCAAATATCCACTTGCAGGTTTTACAAAAAGAGTGTTTCAGAAATGCTCTATCAAAAGAAAGGTTCCCCTCTGTGAGTTGAATGCACACATCATAAAGAAATTTCTGAGAATGCTTCTGTCTAGTTTTTATGTGAAGATATTTCATTTTCCAACATAGGCTTCAAAGGGAAGAAAATATGCACTTGTAGATTCTACAAAAAGAGTGTTTCAAAACTACTCTACCAAAAGAAAAGTTCACCTCTGTGAATTGAATGCACACATCACAAAGAAGTTTCTGAGAATGCGTCCGTCTAGTTTTTATGTGAAGATATTTCGTTTTCTAATATGGGCCTCAAAGCGATCAAAATATCGACTTGCAGATTCTACAGAAAGAGTGTTTCAAAACTGCTCTATCAAAAGAAAGGTTCAACTCTGTGAGTTGAATGCACACATCACAAAGAAATTTCGGAGAATGCTTCTGTCTAGTTTTTGTGAAGATATTCCTTTATCCAAAATAAGCCACAAAGGGAACAAAATATCCACTTGCAGATTCTGCCAAAAGAGTGTTTCAAATCTCCTCCATCAAAAGAAAAGTTCAATCCTGTGAGAATAATGCACACGTCACAAAGAAGTTTTGGAGAATGCTTCTGTCTGGTTTTTATGGGAAGATATTTCCTTTTCCACCATAGACCTCAAAGCTTTCCAAATATCCACTTGCAGATTCTACAAAAAGAGAGTTTCAAACTTGCTCTATCAAAAGAAAAGTTCAACTTTGTGAGTTGAATGCACACATCACAAAGTAGTTTCTGAGAAAGCTCCCGTCTAGTATTTATGTGAAGATAGTTCGATTTCCAACACAGGCCTCAAAGCACTCCAAATATCCACTTGCAGACTCTACAAAAAGAGTGTTTCAAAACTGCTCTATCAAAAGAAGGTTCAACTCTGTGATTGGAATGCACACATCACAACGAAGTTTCTGAGAATGCTTCTGTCTAGTTTTTATATGAAGATATTTCGTTTTCCAACATAGACCTCAAGGGAATCACATATCCACTTGCAGACACTACCAAAAGAGCGTTTCAAAATTCCTCTATGAAAAGAAAGTTCAACACTGTGCGTTGAAAGCACACATCACAAAGAAGTCTCTGAGAATGCTTCTGTCTAGTTTTTGGAGAAGATATTTCGTTTTCCAACATAGGCCTCAAAGGGAACCACATATGCACTTGCAGATTCTACAAAAAGAGTATTTCAAAACCTGCTCTATCAAAAGAAGTGTACAACTCTGTCAGTTGAATGCACACATCACAATGAAGTTTCTGAGAATGCTTCTATCTCGTTTTTATGTGAAGATTTTTCTTTTCCACCACAGGCCTCATAGCTGTAAAAGTATCCACTTGCAGATTCTACAAAAAGAGTGTTTCAAATCTGCTCTATCAAAAGAAGGTTCAACTCTGTGAGTTGAATGCACACATCACAACGAAGTTTCTGAGAATGCTTCTGTTTATTTCTTATGCAAAGATATTTCGTGTTCCAACATATGCCTCAAAGGGAACCGCATATCCCCCTACAGATTCTTCAAAAAGAGTGTTTCAAATCTGCTCTATAAAAAGAAGTGTACATCTCTGTGAGTTGAATGCACATATCACGAAGAAGTTTCTGAGAGTGCTTCCGTTTATTTCTTATGCAAAGATATTGCGTGTTCCAACATATGCCTCAAAGGGAACCGCATATCCACCTACAGATTCTTCAAAAAGAGTGTTTCAAATCTGCTCTATAAAAAGAAGTGTACATCTCTCTGAGTTGAATACACATATCACAAAGAAGTTTCTGAGAGTGCTCCTGTTAATTTGTTGCATGAACTTATTTCCTTCTCCACCACAGACCTCAAAGTGGTCCATATATTCACTGGCAGATATTACAAAATTAGGGTTTGAAATCTGCTCTATCAAAAGAAAGGTTCAACTCTGTGAGTAGAATGCACACATCACTAAGTAGTTTCAGAGAATGCTTCTGTCTAGTTTTTATATGCAGCTATTTCCTTTTGCAACATTCGCCTGAAAGTGCTCTAAATATCTGTTTGCAGATTCTACAAAAAGAGTGTTTCAAATTGCTCGGTCAAAAGAAAGGTTCAACTCTGTGAGTTGAATGCGCACATCACAAAGGAGTTTTTGAGAATGCTTCTGTCTAATTTTCATGTGAAGATACTTAGTTTTCCACCATAGGCCTCAAAGGGATACAAATATCTTCTTGCAGATTCAACAAATAGAGTGTTTAAAAACTGCTCTATCGAAAGAAAGGATCAACTCGGTAAGTTGAATGCAAACATCACAAAGAAGTTTCCGAGGGTGCTTCTGGCTAGTTTTAATGTTTAGTTATTTCCTTTTCCAGCATAAGTCTCAAAACGATCCAAATGTCCACTTGAAGAATCTACAAAAAGAGTGTTTCCAACTGCTCTGTCAATAGAAAGCTTCAACTCTCTGAGTTGAATGCACACATCACAAAGGTGTTTCTGAGAATTCTTCTGTCTAGTTTTTATGTGAAGACATTTCGTTTTCCAACACAGGCCTCAAAGGGAACAAAGCATTCACTTGCAGATTCTACAAAACCAGTGTTTCACAGCTGCTCTATCAAAAGAAACGTTTTATACTGTGACTTGAGTGCACACATCACAAAGAAGTTTCTGAGAATGCTTCTGTCTAGTTTTTATGTGAGGATATTTCGTTTTCCACCATAAGCCTCAAAGCGCTCCAAATATCCACTTTCAGATTCTACAAAAAGAGTGTTTCCAAACTGTTCTATCAAAAGAAATGCTCAACTCTGTGAGTGTAATAGACACAACAAAAAACAGTTTCGGAGAATGCTTCTGTTTAGTTTTTATGTGAAGATATTTCATTTTCCAACACTGACCTCAGAGGGAACAAAATATCCACTTGCGAATTATACAAAAACAGTGTTTCACAACTGTTCTACCATAAGAAAAGTTCAACTCTGTGATTCGAATGCACACATCACAAAGAAGTTTCTTAGAATGCTTCTGTCTATTTTTTATGTGAAGATATTTCCTTTCCCAACATAGACCTCAATGGGAACAAAATATCCATTGGTAGTTTCTAAAAAAAGAGTGTTTCAAAACTGCACTATCAAAAGAAAGGTTTAAATCTGCGAGTTGAATGCCCACATCAGAAAGATGTTTCTGAGAATGCTTCTGTCTAGTTTTTGTGTGAAGATATTTCCTTTTCAACCATAGGCCTCAAAGCACTGCCAATGTCCGCTTGCAGATTCTACCAAAACAGTGTTTCAAAACGGCTCTATCAAAAGAGAGCTTCAACTCTGTGAGTTGAATGCACGTATCACAAAGAATTTTCTGAGAGTGCTTCCATGCAGTTTTAAAATGAAGATATTTCCTCTTCCACCATAGGCCTCAAAGCGCTTCAAATATCCATTTGCAGATTGCACAAAAAGCGTGTTTCATAACTGCGCAAACAAGGAAAGTTTCAACTCTGTGAGTTGAATGCACACTTCACAAAGAAGTTTCTGAGAATGCTTCTATCGAGTTTTTATGTAAAGATATTTCGTTTTCCAACAGAGACCTCAAAGGGAAACAAATATCCACTTGAAGATTCTTCAAAAGGAGTGTAACAAATCTGCTCTCTGAAATGAAAGGTTCAACTCTGTGAGTTGAATGCACACATCACAAAGAAGTTTCTGAGAATGAATCTGTCTAGTTTTTATGTGTAGATATTTCCTTTTCCACGATAGGCTTCAAAGCGCTCAAAATGTCCACATGCAGATTCTGCAAAAGGAGTGTTTCAAAACTGCTCTATCAAAAGAAAGGTTCAACGCTGTGAGGTGAATGCACACATCAAAATGAAGTTTCTGAGAATACTTCTGTCTATTTCTTATGTAAAGATATTTCATTTTTCAACATATGCCTCAAAGGGAACTGCATATCCACCTATAGATCCTTCAAAAAGAGTATTTCAAATCTACTCTATCTAAAGAAGTGTACATCTCTGTGAGTTGAATGCACACATCTCAAAGAAGTTTCTGAGAATGCTTCATTCTACTTTTTACCTGAAAATATTTCTTTTTCCACCATAGGCCTCAAAGCGCTCCATATATCCACTTGCAGATTTTAAAAAACGAGAGTTTTCAAACTGCTCTATCAAAAAAAGCATTCAACACTGTGAGTTGAATGCACAGATCACAAAGAAGTCTCAGAAAAATGTTGTCTAGTTTTTATGTGAAGATATATCCTTTTCCACCGTAGGCCTCAAAGCCCTCAAATATCCCCTGCAAATTCTACAAAAAGACTGTTTCAAAACTGCGCTATCAAAAGAAAGGTTCAACCCTGTGAGTTCCATGCACAAATCACGAAGTAGTTTCTGAGAATGATTCTGTCTAATTTTTATTGGAACATATTTCCTTTTGCACCAAAGACCTCAAAGCACTCCAAATATCCACTTGCAGATACTACAGAAATAATGTTTCAAAACTGCACTATCAAAAGAAAGGTTCAACTCCGTGACTTGAATGCACACATCACAAAGAATTCTCTGAGAATGCTTCTGTCTAGTTTTGATGTGAAGATATTTCGCTTTCCAACATAGGCCTCAACGGGAACAAAATAGCCACTTGCAGTTTCTACAAAAAGAGGGTTTCAAAACCCCGCTCTCTCAGAAGAAATGTTTAATTCTGTGAGTTGAATGCACGGATCACAAAGAAATTTCTGAGAATGCTTCTGTCTAGCTTTTATGTCAAGATATTGCTTTTTCCACAATAGGCCTGAAAGCGCTCCAAATATCCACTTGCAGGTTTTACAAAAAGAGTGTTTCAGAAATGCTCTATCAAAAGAAAGGTTCCCCTCTGTGAGTTGAATGCACACATCATAAAGAAATTTCTGAGAATGCTTCTGTCTAGTTTTTATGTGAAGATATTTCATTTTCCAACATAGGCTTCAAAGGGAAGAAAATATGCACTTGTAGATTCTACAAAAAGAGTGTTTCAAAACTACTCTACCAAAAGAAAAGTTCACCTCTGTGAATTGAATGCACACATCACAAAGAAGTTTCTGAGAATGCGTCCGTCTAGTTTTTATGTGAAGATATTTCGTTTTCTAATATGGGCCTCAAAGCGATCAAAATATCGACTTGCAGATTCTACAGAAAGAGTGTTTCAAAACTGCTCTATCAAAAGAAAGGTTCAACTCTGTGAGTTGAATGCACACATCACAAAGAAATTTCGGAGAATGCTTCTGTCTAGTTTTTGTGAAGATATTCCTTTATCCAAAATAAGCCACAAAGGGAACAAAATATCCACTTGCAGATTCTGCCAAAAGAGTGTTTCAAATCTCCTCCATCAAAAGAAAAGTTCAATCCTGTGAGAATAATGCACACGTCACAAAGAAGTTTTGGAGAATGCTTCTGTCTGGTTTTTATGGGAAGATATTTCCTTTTCCACCATAGACCTCAAAGCTTTCCAAATATCCACTTGCAGATTCTACAAAAAGAGAGTTTCAAACTTGCTCTATCAAAAGAAAAGTTCAACTTTGTGAGTTGAATGCACACATCACAAAGTAGTTTCTGAGAAAGCTCCCGTCTAGTATTTATGTGAAGATAGTTCGATTTCCAACACAGGCCTCAAAGCACTCCAAATATCCACTTGCAGACTCTACAAAAAGAGTGTTTCAAAACTGCTCTATCAAAAGAAGGTTCAACTCTGTGATTGGAATGCACACATCACAACGAAGTTTCTGAGAATGCTTCTGTCTAGTTTTTATATGAAGATATTTCGTTTTCCAACATAGACCTCAAGGGAATCACATATCCATTTGCAGATACTACCAAAAGAGCGTTTCAAAATTCCTCTACGAAAAGAAAGTTCAACACTGTGAGTTGAATGCACACATCGCAAAGAAGTCTCTGAGAATGCTTCTGTCTAGTTTTTGGAGAAGATATTTCGTTTTCCAACATAGGCCTCAAAGGGAACCACATATGCACTTGCAGATTCTACAAAAAGAGTATTTCAAAACCTGCTCTATCAAAAGAAGTGTACAACTCTGTCAGTTGAATGCGCACATCACAATGAAGTTTCTGAGAATGCTTCTATCTCGTTTTAATGTGAAGATTTTTGTTTTCCACCACAGGCCTCATAGCCGAAAAATTATCCACTTGCAGATTCTACAAAAAGAGTGTTTCAAAACTGCTCTATCAAAAGAAGGTTCAACTCTGTGAGTTGAATGCACACATCACAACGAAGTTTCTGAGAATGCTTCTGTTTATTTCTTATGCAAAGATATTTCGTGTTCCAACATATGCCTCAAAGGGAACCGCATATCCACCTACAGATTCTTCAAAAAGAGTGTTTCAAATCTGCTCTGTAAAAAGAAGTGTACATCTCTGTGAGTTGAATACACATATCACGAAGAAGTTTCTGAGAGTGCTCCTGTTAATTTTTTACATGAACTTATTTCCTTTTCCACCACAGACCTCAAAGCGGTCCATATATTCACTGGCAGATATTACAAAAATAGGGTTTGACAACAGCTCTATCAAAAGAAAGGTTCAACTCTGTGAGTAGAATGCACACATCACTAAGTAGTTTCAGAGAATGCTTCTGTCTCGTTTTTATATGCAGCTATTTCCTTTTCCAACGTTCGCCTGAAAGTGCTCCAAATATCTGTTTGCAGATTCTACAAAAAGAGTGTTTCAAATTGCTCGGTCAAAAGAAAGGTTCAGCTCTGTGAGTTGAATGCGCACATCACAAAGGAGTTTCTGAGAATGCTTCTGTCTAGTTTTCATGTGAAGATACTTAGTTTTCCACCATAGGCCTCAAACGGATACAAATATCTACTTGCAGATTCTACAAATACAGTGTTTCAAAACTGCTCTATCGAAAGAAAGGATCAACTAGGTAAGTTGAATGCAAACATCACAAAGAAGTTTCCGAGAGTGCTTCTGGCTAGTTTTAATGTTCAGTTATTTCCTTTTCCACCGTAAGTCTCAAAACGCTCCAAATGTCCACTTGCAGAATCTACAAAAAGAGTGTTTCAAACTGCTCTGTCAATAGAAAGGTTCAACTCTGTGAGTTGAATGCACACATCACAAAGATGTTTCTGAGAATTCTTCTGTCTATTTTCTATGTGAAGACATTCCGTTTTCCAACACAGGCCTCAAAGGGAACAAAGTATCCACTTGCAGATTCTACAAAACCAGTGTTTCACAACTGCTCTATCAAAAGAAAGGATCAATTCGGTAAGTTGAATGCAAACATCACAGAGAAGTTTCCGAGAGGGCTTCTGTCTAGTTTTAATATTTAGTTATTTCCTTTTCCACCATAAGCCTCAAAACGCTCCAAATGTCCACTTGCAGATTCTACAAAAAGAGTGTTTCAAACTGTTCTATCAATAGAGAGTTTCAATTCCGTGAGTTGATTGCACACATCACAAAGATGTTTTTGAGAATTCTTCTGTCTAGTTTTTATGTGAAGACATTTCGTTTTCCAACACAGGCCTCAAAGGGAGCAAAATATCCACTTACATAGTCTACAAAACGAGTGTTTCACAGCTGCTCTATCAAAAGAAACGTTTTACACTGTGACTTGAGTGCACACATCACAAAGAAGTTTCTGAGAATGCTTCTGTCTAGTTTTTATGTGAAGATATTTCGTTTTCCACCATAAGCCTCAAAGCGCTCCAAATATCCACTTTCAGATTCTACAAAAAGAGTGTTTCCAAACTGTTCTACCTAAAGAAATGCTCAACTCTGTGAGTGTAATAGACACAACAAAAAACAGTTTCGGAGAATGCTTCTGTTTAGTTTTTATGTGAAGATATTTCCTCTCCCACCAGAGGTCTCAAAGCGCACGAAATATCCACTTGCAGATTCTACAAAAAGACTGTTTCAAAACTGCTCTACAAAAGAAAGGTTCAACTCTGTGAGTTGAAGGCACACATCACAAATAAGTTTTTGAGAATGCTTCTGTCTAGTTTTTCTGTGAAGATATTTCATTTTCCAACACTGACCTCAGAGGGAACAAAATATCCACTTGCGAATTATACAAAAAGAGTGTTTCACAACTGTTCTATCATAAGAAAAGTTCAACTCTGTGATTCGAATGCACACATCACAAAGAAGTTTCTTAGAATGCTTCTGTCTATTTTTTATGTGAAGATATTTCCTTTCCCAACATAGACCTCAACGGGAACAAAATATCCATTGGTAGTTTCTAAAAAAAGAGTGTTTCAAAACTGCTCTATCAAAAGAAAGGTTTAAATCTGCGAGTTGAATGCCCACATCCGAAAGATGTTTCTGAGAATGCTTCTGTCTAGTTTTTGTGTGAAGATATTTCCTTTTCAACCATAGGCCTCAAAGCACTGCCAATGTCCGCTTGCAGATTCTACAAAAACAGTGTTTCAAAACGGCTCTATCAAAAGAGAGCTTCAACTCTGTGAGTTGAATGCACGTATCACAAAGTATTTTCTGAGAGTGCTTCCATGCAGTTTTAAAATGAAGATATTTCCTCTTCCACCATAGGCCTCAAAGCGCTTCAAATATCCATTTGCAGATTGCACAAAAAGCGTGTTTCATAACTGCGCAAACAAGGAAAGTTTCAACTCTGTGAGTTGAATGCACACTTCACAAAGAAGTTTCTGAGAATGCTTCTATCGAGTTTTTATGTAAAGATATTTCGTTTTCCAACAGAGGTCTCAAAGGGAAACAGATATCCACTTGAAGATTCTTCAAAAGGAGTGTTACAAATCTGCTCTCTGAAATGAAAGGTTCAACTCTGTGAGTTGAATGCACACATCACATAGAAGTTTCTGAGAATGCTTCTGTCTTGTTTTAATGTGAAGATGTTTCCTTTTCCAACATTCGCCTCAAAGTGAACCAAATATCCACTTGCAGACTCTACAAAAAGAGTGTTTCAAAATTGCTCTATCAATAGAAATCTTCAACTCTGTGAGGTGAATGCACACATTATGAAGAATTTCATGAGAATGATTCTGTCTAGTTTTTATGTGAAGATATTTCATTTTCCAACACAGGCCTCAAAGGGAACCGAATATTCAATTGCAGATTCTACAAAAAGATTGTTTCACAGATGCCCTATCAAAAGAAAGGTTGAACTCTGTGAATTGAATGCACACATCACAAAGAATTTCATGAGAATGCTTCTGTCTAGTTTTTACGTGAAGATATTTCCTTTAAACCAGAGACCTCAAAGTGCTCCAAATATCCACTTGCAGATACTACGAAAAGGGTGTTTCAAAACTGCTCTATCAAAAGAAAGGTTGAACTCTGTGAGTTGAAAGCACACATCACCAAGCAGTTTCGGAGAATACTTCTGTCCAGTTTTTATGAGAAGATATTTCCTTTTTCACCTGGGCCTCAATGCACTCCAAATATCCACTTGCCGATTCTAAAAAAGAGTGTTTCAAAACTTCTCTATCAAAAGAAATGTTCAAGTCTGGGAGTTGAATGCACACAACTCAAAGAAGTTTCTGAGAATGCTTCTGTCTAGTTTTTATGTGGGGATATTCCCTTTTCAATCATAGGCTTCAAAGTGCTCCAAATATTCACTTGCAGATTTTAAATAAGAGTGTTTCAAAACTGCTCTATCAAAAAAAAATTTGAACCCTGAGAGTTGAATGCACACATTCCAAAGAAGTTTCTGAGAATGCTTCTATCTAGTTCTTATGTGAAGATATTTGCTTTTCCACCATAGGCCTGAAATGGAACCAAATATCCAGTTGCAGATTCTACAAAAAGAGTGTTTCAAAACTAGTCAATCAAAAGAAGGGTTCAACCCTGTGGGATGAATGCTCCCATCACAAAGAAGATTCTGAGAATGCTTCTGTCTAGTTTCCATGTGAATTTATTTCAATTTCCAACATAGGCCTCTAAGGGAACAAAATATCCTCTAGCAGATTCTACAAAAACAGTATTTGAAAACTGCTATATCAAAAGAAAGTTTCAACCCTGTGAGTTGAATGCATACATCAATAAGAAGTTTTGGAGAATTCTTCTGTCTAGTTTTTATGTGAAAATATTTCCTTTTCCACTATAGGCCTCAAAGCGTTCCAAATATCCACTTCTAGATTCCACAAAAAGAGTGTTTAAAAACTGCTTTATGAAAAGAAATGTTCAACTCTGTGAGTGGAATGCACACATCGCCAAGAAGTTTTGCAGAAGGCTTCTGTCTAGTTTTTATGTGTGAATATTTCGTTTTCCAACATAAGCCTCAAAGGGAACAAAATATCCACTTGCAGATTCTACAAAAAGAGTGTTTCAAAGCGGCTCCATCAAGAGAAAGATTCAACTCTGTAAGTTGAATGTGCACATCACAAAGAGGTTTCAGAGAATGATTCTGTCTAGTTTTTATGTGAAGGTACTTTCATTTCCACCATAGGCCTCAAACGCCCCAAATATCCACTTGCAGATCCTACAAAAAGAGTGTTTCAAAACGGCTCTATCAAAAGAAATGTTCAACTCTGTGAGTTGAATCCACACATCACAAAGGAGTTTCTGAGAAAGCTTCTCTCTAGTTTTTATGTGAAGATATTTAGTTTTCCATCGTAGGCCTCAAAAGGAACAAAATATCCACTTGCAGATGCTACAAAAAGAGTGTTTCTAAACTGTTCTTTCAAAAGAAAGTTTCAACTCTGTGAGTTGAATGCACACATCACATAGACGTTTCAGAGAATGATTCTGTTTTGTTTTTATGTGAAGATAATTTCTTTTCCACCATAGGCCTCAAAGTGCTCCAAATATCCACTTCCAGATCCTACAAAAAGAGTGTTTCAAAACTGCTCAATCAAAAGAAAGGTTCACCTCCGTGAGTTGAATGCACACATCACAAAGAAGTTTCTTAGAATGCTTCTGTGTAGTTTTTATGTGAAGATATTTCATTTTCAAATGTAGGCCTCAAAGGGAACAAAATATCCATTTACAGATTCTACAAATGAGTGTTTCAAAACCGCTCTATCAAAAGAAAGGTGCAACTCTGTGATTTGAGTGCACACGTCACAAACTCTTTCAGAGAATGTTTCTGTCTAGTTTTTATCTGAAGATATTTCCTTTTCCACCCTAGGCCTCAAAACGCTCCAAATATCCACTTGCAGATTCTGTAATAAGAGTGTTTCAAAACTGCTCTATCAAAAAAAGTTTCAGCTCCATGAGTTGAATACACACATCCCAAGGAAGTTTCTGAGAATGTTTCTGTCTAGTTTTTGTGTGAATATATTTCCTGTTCCAACATACACCTCAAAGGGAACCAAATATCCACCTGCAGATTCTACAAAAAGAGTGTTTCAAAATTGCTCTATCAAAAGAAAGGTTCAACTCTGTGAGTTGAATGCTCACATCACAAAGAGTTTCATGAGAATGCTTCTGTCTAGTTTTTATGTGAAGATATTTCCTTTAAACCATAGGCCTCAAAGTGCTCCAAATATCCACTTGCAGATTCTACCAAAAGAGCGTTTCAAAATTGCTCAGTGAAAAGAAAGGTTCAATTTTGTGAGTTGAGTGCACACTTCACCAAGCAGTTTCAGAGAATACTTCTGTCTAGATTTTATGTGAAGTTATTTTCTTTTGCACCATAGGCCTCAATGCACTCCAAATATCAACTTGCAGATTCTAAAGAAGTGTGTTTCAAAACTGCTCTATCAAAGGAATTGTTCAACTCTGTGAGTTGAATGCACACAACTCAAAGAAGTTTCTGAGAATGCTTCTGTCTAGTTTTTATGTGGGGATATTCCCTTTTCCATCATAAGCTTCAAAGTGCTCCAAATATCCACTTGCAGATTCTACAAAAAGAGTGTTTCAAAACTGGTCTATCAAAAGAAAGGTTTAACCCTGTGGGATGAATGCTCACATCACAAAGAATATTCTGAGAATGCTTCTGTCTAGTTTTTATCTGAAGTAATTTTGATTTCTAACATAGGCCACAAAGGGAACCAAATATCACCTAGCAGATTCTACAGAAAGAGTGTTTCAAAACTGCTCTATCAAAAGAAATGTTCAACTCTGTTAGTTGAGTACACACATCACAAACAAGTTTCTGAGAATGCTTCTGTCTAGTTTTTATGGGAAGAGATTTCCTTTTTCACCATGGGCCTCAATGCACTCCAAATATCCACTTGCAGATTCTAAAAAAGAGTGTTTCATAACTTCTCTATCAAAAGAAATATTCAGGTCTGTGAGTTGAATGCACACAACACAAAGAAGTTTCTGAGAATGCTTCTGTCTAGTTTTTATGTGGGGATATTCCCTGTTCAATCATAGTCTTCAAAGTGCTCCAAATATCCACTTGCAGCTTTTAAATAAGAGTGTTTCAAAACTGCTCTATCAAAAAAAAATTTGAACTCTGAGAGTTGAATGCACACATTCCAAAGAAGTTTCTGAGAATGCTTCTGTCTAGTTCTTATGTGAAGATATTTCAATTTCCACCATAGGCCTGAAATGGAACCAAATATCCAATTGCAGATTCTACAAAAAGAGTGTTTCAAAACTAGTCAATCAAAAGAAGGGTTCAACCCGGTGGGATGAATGCTCATATCACAAAGAAGATTCTGAGAATGTTTCTATCTAGCTTTCATGTGAAGTTATTACGATTTCCAACATAGGCCTCTAAGGGAACAAAATATCCCCTAGCAGATTCTACAAAAAGAGTGTTTCAAAACTGCTATATCAAAAGAAAGTTCCAACTCTGTGAGTTGAATGCACACATCACAAAGAAGTTTCTGAGAATGCTTCTGTCTAGTTTTTATGTGAAGATATTTCCTTTTCCACTATAGGCCTCAAAGCGCTCCAAATATCCACTTCTGGATTCTACAAAAAGAGTGTTTAAAAACTGCTTTATGAAAAGAAATGTTCAACTCTGTGAGTGGAATGCACACATCGCCAAGAAGTTTCACAGAGTGCTTCTGTCTAGTTTTTATGTGTAGATATTTCGTTTTTCAACATAGGCCTCAAAGAGAACAAAATATCCACTTGCAGATTCTACAAAAAGAGTGTTTCAAAGCTGCTCTATCAAAAGAAAGATTCAACTCTGTAAGTTGAATGTGCACATCACAAATAGGTTTCAGAGAATGATTCTGTCTAGTTTTTATGTGAAGATAATTTCTTTTCCACCATAGGTCTCAAAGCGCCCCAAATATCCACTTCAGATAGCACAAAAAGAGTGTTTCTAAATTGCTCTATCAAAAGAAAGGTTCAATGCTGTGAGTTGAATACACACATCACAAAGAAGTTTATGAGAATGCCTCTGTCTAGTTTTTATTTGAAGATATTTCCTTTTCAACCACAGGCCTCAAAGCGCTACAAATATCCACATGCAGATTCTACAAAGAGATTGTTTCAAACCTACTCTATCAAAAGAAAGTTTCAACTCTGTGAGTTTTATCCACACATCACAAAGAAGCTTCTGAGAATGCTTCTGTCTAGTATTTATGTGAAGATATTTTGTTTTGCAACACAGGCTTCAAAGGTAACAAAATATACAGTTTCAGATTATACAAAAAGAGTCTTTCAAAACTGCTGTATCAAAAGAAGGGTTCAACTCTGTCAGTTGAATGCACACATCACAATAAGGTTTGGGAGAATGTTTCTCTCTAGTTTTTATATCAAAATATTTCCTTTTCCAACACTGGCCTCAAACCGCTCCATATATCCCTTGCAGAACTTACAAAACCGTGTTTCAAAACTGCTCTATCAAAAGAAAATTTCAACACTGTGAGTTGAATGCACACATCACAAAGAAGTTTCGCAGAATTCTTCTGTCTAGTTTTTATGTGAAGATATTTCCTTTTCCACCTTAGGCCTCAAAGCGCTCCATATATCCTCTTGCACATTTCACAAAAAGAGTGTTTCTAAACTGCTCTATCAAAAGAAAAGTTCAACACTGTGAATTGAATGCACACAAATCCAAGGAAATTTCGGAGAACACTTCAGTCTAGTTTTCATGTGAAGATATTTCCTTTTCAACCATAGGCCTCAAAGCGCTCCAAATATCCACTTGCAGATTTTACAAAAAGAGTGTTACAAAACGGCTCTGTCAAAGGAAAGTTTCAACTCTGAGTTGAATGCCCCCATCAGAAAGATGTTTCTGAGAATGCTTCTGTCGGTCTTTTATTTGAACATATTTCCTTTTCAACCATAGGCCCCAAAGCGTTTCAGATATCCTTTTCAGATTCTACAAAAAGAGTGTTTTAAAACTAGTATATCAAAAGAAATGTTCAACTCTGTGAGTTGAATGCACGCATCACAAAGAAGTTTCTGAGAATGCTTCTGTCTAGTTTTTATGTGAAGATATTTGGTTTTCCATTATAGGCCTCAAAGGGAAGAACATATCCAAAGGAGATTCTACAAAAAGTGTGTTTCAAAACTGCTCTATCAAAAGAAAGGTTCAACTGTGTCAGTTGAATGCACACATCACGGATAAGTTTCTCAGAATGCTTCAGTGTAATTTTTATGTGAAGATATTTCCTTTTCCACTGTAGGCCTCAAAGCGCTCCAAATATCCACTTGCAGATTCTGCAAAAAGAGTGTTTCAAAACTGCTCTATCAAAAAAAAGGTTCAACTCTGTGAGTTGAATGCACACATCACAAAAAAGTTTCTGAGAATGCTTCTGTATAGTTTTTATATGAAGTTATTTCATTTTCCACCATAGGCCAAAAAGGGAACAAAATATCCACTTGCAGATTATACTAAAATAGTTTTTCAAAACTGCTTTATCAAAAGAAGGGTTCAACTCTGTGAGTTGAATGCACACTTCACAAAGAAGTTTCGGAGTATGCTTCTGTCTAGTTTTTATGTGAAGATATTTCCTTTTCCACCTGAGCCTCAAAGCGCTCCATATATCTTCTTGCAGATTTTACAAAAAGAGTATTTCAAAACTGCTCTATCTAAAGAAAGGTTCAACACTATGAGTTGAATGCACACATCACAAAGCAGTTTCGGAGAACACTTCTGCCTAGTTTTCATGTGAAGATATTTCCTTTTCCACCATAGGCCTCAAAGCACTCCAAATATCCACTTGGAGATTCTACAAAAAGACTGTCTCAAAACTTCTCTATCAAAAGAAAGTTTCAACTCTGTGTGTTGAATGCACACATCACAAAGAAGTTTCTGAGAATGCTTCTGCCTAGTTTTTATTTGAATATATTTCGTTTTCCAACACAGGCCTCAAAGGGAACTAAATATCAACTTGCAGATTCTAGAAAAAGAGTGTTTGAAAACTGCTCTATCAAAAGAAAGTTTCAACTCTGTGAGTTGAATGCATACATCACAAAGAAGTTTCTGAGAATGCTTCTGTCTAGTTTTTATGTGACGATTTTGCCTTTTCCACCATAGGCCTCAAAGTGCTCCAAATATCCACTTTGAGATACTACAAAAAGAGTGTTTCAAAACTAGTGTATCAAAATAAATGTTCAACTCTGTGAGTTGAATGGACACATCATAATGAAGTTTCTGAGAATGCTTCTCTCTAGTTTTTATATGAAGATATTTCCTTTTCCAACATAGGCCTCAAAGGGAACCAAATGTCCACTTGCAGATTCTACAGGAAGAATGTTTCAAAGTGCTCTACCAAAAGAAAAGTTCAAGTCTGTGAGGTGAATGCACCCATAAAAAAGAAGTTTCAGAGAATGCTTCAGTCTACTTTTTTGTGAAGATATTTTGTTTTCCAACACAGGCCTCAAAGGAAAGGAAATATCTACTTGCAGATTCTGCAAATGAATGTTTCAAAACAGCTCTATCAAAAGAAAGGTGCAACTCTGTGAGTTGAATGCACACACAAAAAAGAAGTTACTGAGAATGTTTCTGTCTAATTTTTTGGTCAAGTTATTTCCTTTTCCACCATAGGCCTCAAAGCGCTACAAATATCCACTTGCTGATTCTACAGAAAGAGTGTTTCAAAAAAGCTCTACAAAAAGAAAGGTTCAACTCTGTGAGGTGAATGCACACATCACAAAGAAGTTTCTCAGAATGCTTCAGTGTAATTTTTATGTGAAGATATTTCCTTTTCCACCATAGGCCTCAAAGCGCTCCAAATATCCAATTGCAGTTTCTACAAAAAGAGATTTTAAAAACTGCTCAATCAAAAGAAAGGTTCAACTCTGTGAGTTGAATGCACACATCACAAAGAAGTTTCTGAGAATGCTTATGTCTAGTTTTCATGTGAAGATTTTTCCTTTTCCCCCATAAGCCTCAAAGCGTTCCAAGTATGCATTTGAAGATTGTGCAAAATGAGTGTTTCAAAACTGCTGTATCAAAAGAAAGATTCAACACTGTGAGTTCAATGCACACATCACAAAGAAGTTTCTGAGAATGCTTCTGTCTAGTTTTTATGTGTAGATATTTCCTTTTCCACCATAGACCTCAAAGATCTCCAAATATCCACGTGCAGTTTCTTCAAAAAGAGTGTTTCAAAACTGCTCTATCAAAAGAAAGGTTCAACTCTGTGAGTAAAATACACACATCACAAAGAAGTTTCTGAGAATGCCGCTGTTTAGTTTTTATTTGAAGATATTACCTTTTCCACCATAGGGCACAAAGGGCTCCAAACATCCATTTGCAAATTCTACAAAAAGAGAGATCCTAAACTGCTCAATGGAAAGATAGGTTTAACTCCGTTAGTTGAATGCACACATCACAAAGAAGTTTCTCAGAATACTTCTGCATAGTTTTTATGTGAAGATATTTCCTTTTCCACTATAGGCCTTAAAGGGCTCCAATTATCCACTTGCAGATTCTACAAAAAGAGTGTTTCAAGCCTGCTCAATCAAAATAAATATTCAACTCTGTGAGGTGAATGCACTCCTCACCAAGAAGTTTCTCAGAATGCTTCTGTGTAGTTTTTATATAAAGATATTTCCTTTTCCACAATAGGCCTCAAAGGGCTACAAATACCCACTTGCAGATTCTATAAAAAGTGTGTTTCAAAACTGCTCAATCAAAAGAAAGCTTCAACTCTGTGAGATGAATGCACACATCAGAAAAAAGTTTCTCAGAATGCTTCTGTCTAGTTTTTATGTGAAGATATTTCCTTTTCCACCATAGACCTCAAAGTGCTCCAAATATCCACTGGCAGATTCTACAAAAAGAGTGGTTCAAAACTGCCATATCAAAAGAAACGTTCAACTCTGTGTGTTGAATGCCCGCATTGCAAAGAAGTTTCTGTGAATGCTTCTGTCTAGTTTTTATATGAAGATATTCCTTTTCCACCATAGGCCTCAAAGCGCTCCAAATATCCACTTGCAGATTCGGCAAAAAGAGAGATTCAAAACTGCTCAATCATAACATATGTTCAACCTCGTGAGGTGAATGCACCCATCACAAAGAAGTTATTCAGAATGCTTCAGTGTAGTTTTCATGTGAAGATATTTGCTTTTCCACAGTAGGCCTCAAAGAGCTCCAAATATCCACCTGCAGATTCTGCAAAAAGAGAGATTCAAAACTGCTCAATCAAAAGATGGGTTCAACTCTGTCAGTTGAATGAATACATCACAAAGAACTTTCTCTGAATGATTCTATGTAGCTTTTATTTGAAGATATTTCCTTTTCCACAATAGGGTGCAAAGGGCTCCAAATATCCACTTGCAGATTCTACAAAAAGAGAGATTCAAAAATGCTCAAGGAGAAGATAAGTTCAACTCTGTGAGTTGAATGTACACCTCACAAAGAAGTTTTTCAGAATGCTTCCGTGTAGTTTTAATGTGAAGATATTTCCTTTTCCACATTCGGCCTCAAAGCTTTCCAAACTTCCACTAGCAGGTTCTGCAAAAAGAGAGATTCAAAACTGCTCAATCAAAAGACAGGTTCAACCCTGTGAGTTGCTTACACACATCACAAAGTTGTTTCCCAAAATGCCTCTGTGTAGTTTTTATGTGAACATATTTGATTTTCCACAGTACGCCTCACAACGCTCCAAATATCCACCTGCAGATTCTACAAAAAGAGAGATTCAAAATGTTTAATGAAAAGATAGTTTCAACCCTCTGAGTTGAATGCACACATCATGAAGAAGTTTCTGAGAATGCTTCTGTGTAGTTTTTATTTGAAGATATTTCATTTTCCACCATAGGGCACAAAGGGCTCCAAATAACCACTTGCAGATTCTACAAAAAGAGAGATCCTAAATTGCTCAATGAAAAGATAGGTTCAACTCTGTTAGGTGAATGCACCCATCATAAAGAAGTTTCTCAGAATATTTCTGAGTAGATTTTATGTGAAGATATTCCCTTTTCAAAAATGGACCTCAAGGGGCTCCAATTATCCACTTGCAGATTCTTCAAAAAGAGTGTTTCAAACCTGCTCAATCAAAAGAAATCTTCAACAGTGTGAGGTGAATGCACTCATCACCAAGAAGTTTCTCAGAATGCTTCTGTGTAGTTTTTATGTAAAGATATTACCTTCTCCACAGTAGGCCTCAAAGGGCTACAAATACTCACTTGCAGATTCTACAAAAAGTGTGTTTCAAAACTGATCAATCAAAAGAAAGGTCCAACTCTTTGAGATGAATGCACACATCACAGAAAAGTTTTTCAGAATGCTTCTGTGTAGTTTTTATCTGAAGATAGTTGCTTTTCCATGGTAGGCCAAAAAGCACACCAAATATCCACTTGCAGAATCTACAATAAGAGTGTGTCAAAACTGGTCAATCATAAGATAGGTTTGACCCCGTGAGATGAATGCGCACTTCACAAAGAAGTTTCTCTGAATGTTTCTGTGCAGTTTTTATTTGAAGATATTTCCTTTCCCACCATAGGCCGCAAAAGGCTCCAAATATCCGCTTGCAGATTTGGCAAAAAGAGAGATTGAAAACTATTCAGTCAAAAGATAGGTTCAACTCTGTGAGTTGAATGCAAACATCCCAGAAATGTTTCTCAGAATGCTTCTGTGTAGTTTTTACGTGAAGATATTTCCTTTTCCACCATAGGGTGCAAAGGGCTCCAAATATCCACTTGCAGATTCTACAAAACGGAGATTCAAAACTGCTCAATGAGAAGATAATTCAACTCAGTGAGTTCAATGCACACCTCACAAAGAAGTTTCTCAGAATGCTTCTGTGTAGTTTTTATGTGAAGATATTTGCTTTTCCACAGTAGGCCTCAAAGCTCTCCAAACATCCACTTGCAGATTCTGCAAAAAGAGAGATTCAAAACTGCTCAATCAGAAGATGGGTTCAACTCTGTGAGTTGAATGCATACATCACAAAGAAGTTTCTCTGAATACTTCTGTGTAGTTTTTATGTGAAGATATTTCTTTTTCCACAGTAGGCCTCAAAGGGCTCCAAATATCCACTTGTAGTTTCTACAAAAAGACTGTTTCAATCTTGCTCAATCAAAAGAAAGTTTCAACTGTGTGCGATGAGTGCACACATCCCCAGGAAGATTCTCACAATGCTTCTGTGTAGTTTTTATCTGAAGATATTTGCTTTTCTGCAGTAGGCCTCAAAGGGCTCCAAATATCCAGTTGTGGATTCTACAAAAACAGTGTTTCAAACTGCTCAATCACAAGATAGGTTCAAACCTGTGAGATGAATGCACTCATCACAAAGAAGTTTCTCAGAATGTTTCTGTCTAGTTTTTATTTGAAGATATTTCCTCTTCCACCATAGGCTGCAAATGGCTCCATATATCCACCTGCAGATTCTGCAAAAAGAGAAATTCAAAACTGCTCAATCAAAAGATAGGTTCAACTCTGTGAGATGAATGCACACATCACAAAGAAGTTTCTCAGAATGCTTCCGTGTAGTTTTTATTTGAAGATTTTTTTTTCCACAAGCTGTGATGTGAACGCACACATCACAAAGAAGTTGCTCAGAATACTTCTTTCTAATTTTTATGTGAAGATATTTCCTTTTCCACCACAGTCCTCCAGGTGCTCTAAATAGCCATTTGCAGATTCCACAAAAAGAGTATTTCAAACCTTGTCATTCAAAAGAAATTTCAACTCCGGAAGATGAATGCACACATCACAAAGCAGTCTCTCAGAGTGCTTCTATCTAGTTTTTATGTGAAGACATTTCCTTTTCTACCATTGGCCACAAAGCACTAAAAATGTGCACTTGCAGATTCTACAAAAAGAGTGTTTCCATACTGCTCTATCAAAAGAAAGTTTTAACTCTGTTTGATGAATGCACACATCGCAAAGAAGTTTCTCAGCTTGCTTCTATCTATATTTTATGTGAAAATATTTCCTTTTCCACCAAAGGCCGCAAAGTGCTCCAAATGTCCACTTGCAGATTCTACAAAAGGAGTGTTTCCAAACTGCTCAATCAAAAGAAAGTTTCAGCTCACACATCACAAAGAAGTTTCCCAGAATGCTTCTGTCTATTTTTTTTGTGAAGATATTTCCTTTTCCACCATAGGCCTCAAAGCACTCCAAATATGCACTTGCAAATTCTACAAAAAGAGAGTTTCAAAACTGCTCAAAGAAAAGAAAGGTTTAACTCTGTGAGATGAATGCACACATCACAAAGAAGTTTCTAGGATTGCTTCTGTCTAGATTTTATGTGAACATATTTCCTTTTCCAAAATTGGCTGCAAAGCGCTCCAAATGTCCACTTGCAGATACTACAAAAAGAATGTTTCCAAACTGCTCAATCAAAAGAAAGTTTCAACTCTGTGAGATGAACACATGCATCATGAAGGATT
Organism: Homo sapiens; assembly: GCF_000001405.40. Taxonomy (NCBI): domain Eukaryota; kingdom Metazoa; phylum Chordata; class Mammalia; order Primates; family Hominidae; genus Homo; species Homo sapiens. Next base: position 35,996,693 of record NC_000016.10, on the reverse strand, counting down.
TTCTGAGAATTATTCTGTCTAGATTTCATGTGAAGATATTTCCTTTTAGACCTGAAGCCTCAAAGTGCTCCAAATGTCCACTTGCAGATTCCACAAAAGGAGAGTTTTAAAACTACTCTATCAAAAGAAAGGTTAACCTCTGTGAGATGAATGCACAGATCACAAAGACGTTTCTCAGATTGCTTCTGTCTAGATTTTAAGTGAAGATATGTCCTTTTCTACCATAGGTCGCAAAGCGCCTTAAGTGTCCACTTGCAGATTCTACAAAAAGAGTGTTTTGAAACTGCTCAATGGACAGAAAGGTTCAACTCTGTGAGACGAATGCACACATCACAAAGAAGTTTCTCAGAATTCTTCTGTCTAGTTGTTATGTGAAGATATTTCCTTTTCCACCATAGGCTTCAAGGCGCTGGAAATGTCCACTTGCAGATTCTACAAAAAGAGTATTTCAAAACTAGTTTTTCAATAGAAAGATTCATCTCTGGGAGATGAATGCACACATCTCAGAGAGGTTCCTCAGAATGCTTCTATCTAGTTTTTAATGTGAAGATATTTCTTTTTCCAGCATATGCCTCAGAGCACTCCAAATGTCCACTTGCAGATCCTACAAAAAGAGAGTTTCAAAACTGCTCATCCAAAAGAAAGTTTCAACTCTGTGAGATGAATGCACATATCTCAAAGAAGTTCCCCAGATTGCTTCTTTCTAGAATTTATGTGAAGATATTTCATTTTCTAACGTAGGCCACATGGCGCTCCAAATGTCCACTTGCAGATTCTACAAAAATAGTGTTTTCAAACTGCTCAATCAAAAGAAAGTTTCAACTCTGTGAGATGAACGCACGCATCACAAAGAGGTTTCTCAGAATTCTTCTGTCTAGTTTTTATGTGAAGATATTTCCTTTTCCACCATAGGCCTCAAACCACTCCAAATGTCCACTTGCAGATTCTACAAAAAGAGAGTTTCAAAACTGCTCAATCAAAAGAAAGGTTTGACTCTGTGTGATGAACGCACACATCACAAAGAAGTTTCTCAGATTGCTTCTGTCTAGATTTTATGTGAAGATATTTCCTTTTCTACAATAGGCCGCAAACCACTCAAAATGTCCACTTGCAGAGTGTACAAAAAGAGTGTTTCCAAACTGCTCAATCAAAAGAAACATTCAACTTTGTGAGATGAATGCACACATCACAAAGAAATTTCTCAGAATTTTTCTGTCTAGTTTTTATATGAAGATATTTTATTTTCCACCATAGGCCTCAAGGCGCTCGAAATGTCCACTTACAGGCTCTACAAAATGAGTATTTCAAAACTGGTCTATCAAAAGAGAGGTTCAGCTCTAGGAGATGAAGGCACACATCACAAAATAGTTTCTCAGGATGCTTCTATCTAGTTTTTATGTGAAGATATTTCCTTTTCCACCATAGGCCTCAAAGCGCTCCAAATGTCCACTTGCAGATTCTACAAAAAGAGTGTTTCCAAACTGCTCAATCATAAGATACTTTCAACCCTGTGAGATAAATGCACACATCACAAAGAAGTTTCTCGGAATGTTCCTGTGTAGTTTTTATTTGAAGATATTTCATTTTCCACCATAGGCCACAAAGGGCTCCAAATATCCACTTGCAGATTAAAAAAAAAGAGAGAGAAATTCAAAACTGCTCAATCAAAAGATAGGTTCAATTCTGTGACTTGAATGCCCACATCAAAAAGAAGTTTCTCAGAATGCTTCTGTGCAGTTCTTATGTGAAGATATTTGCTTTTCCACCATAGACCTCAAAGCTCTCCAAATATCCACTCGCAGATTCTGCAAAAAGAGAGATTCAAAACTGCTCAATCAAAAGATAGGTTCAATTCTGTGACTTGAATGCCCACATCACAAAGAAGTTTCTCAGAATGCTTCTGTGCAGTTGTTATGTGAAGATATTTGCTTTTCCACCATAGACCTCAAAGCTCTCCAAATATCCACTTGCAGATTCTGCAAAAAGAGAGATTCAAAACTGCTCAATCAAAAGATAGGTTCGATTCTGTGAGTTGAATGCCCTCCTCACAAAGAAGTTTATCAGAATGCTTCTCTGTAGTTTTTATGCAAAGATATTTGCTTTTCCACAGTAGGCCTCAAAGCGCTTCAAATATCCCCATACAGATTCTGCAAAAAGTGAGATTCAAATCTGCTCAATCAAAAGATGGGTTCAACTCTGTGAGTTGATTGCACTCATAACAAAGAATTTTCTCAGAATGCTTCTGTGTAGTTTTTATGTGAAGATATTTCCTTTTCCAAAATAGGCCTCAAAGCCCCCCAAATATCGAACTCCAGATTCTACAAAGAGTGTTTCAAAACCGCTCAAACAAAAGAAAGTTTCAACTCCGTAGGATGAATGCACACAGCCCAAAGAAGTTTCTCAGAATCCCTCAGTCTAGTTTTTATGTGATGATATTTTCTTTTCAGCCATAGACCTCAAAGCACTCCAAATATCCCCTTGCAGATTCTACAAAAAGAGTGTTTGAAAACTGCTCAATCAAAACAAATTTTCAACTATGTGGGATGAATGCAGACATCACAAAGAAGTTTCTCAGAATGCTTCTGTCTAGTTTTTACGTGAAGATATTTCCTTTTCAGCTATAGGCCTCAAAACCCCCCAAATAGCCCGTTGCAGATACTACCAAAAGAGTGTTTGCAAACTGCTTGATCAAAAGAAATGTTCAAGACTGTGAGTTGAACGCCCCCCTCACAAAGAAGTCTCTCTGAATGCTTCTGTGTAGTTTTTATTTGAAGATATTTCCTTTTCCACCATAGGCCTCAAAGCGCTCCAAATATCCACTTGCAGATTCTACAAAAAGAGTGTTCCAAAACTGCTCAATCACAGGAATGGTCCAATTCTTTAAGCAGAATGCACACATCACAAAGAAGTTTCTCAGAATGCTTCTGCCTAGTTTTTAGGTGAAGATATTTCCTTTTCAGCTGTCGGCCTCAAAGCGATCCAAATATAAATTTGTAGATACTACAAAAAGAGTGATTCAAAACTGCTCAATCAAAACAAAGTTTCAACTCCGTGAGATGAATGCACATATCCCAAAGAAGTTTCTCAGAATGCTTCTGTCTAGTTTTTATGTGAAGATATTTCCTTTTCAGCTATAAGCCTCATAGCGCTCCAAATATCCATTTGCAGATACATCAAAACGAGTGTTTCCAAACTGCTCAATCAAAAGAAATGTTCAACTCTGTGAGTTGAATGCAGACATGACAAAGAAGTTTCTGAGAATGCTTCTGTCTAGTTTTCACGTGAAGATACTTCCTTTTCCACAATAGGCCACAAAGCGCTCCAAATATCCACTTGCATATTCTACAAAAAGAGTGTTTCAAAAGTGCTCAATCAAAAGAAATGTTCAACTCTTTGAGATAAATGCAAATATCACAAAGAAGTTTCTCACAGTGCTTCTGTCTAGTTTTAATGTGAAGATATTTCCTCTTCAGCTATAGGCCTCAAAGTGCTCCAAATATCCATATGCAGATACTTCAGAAAGAGTGTTTCCAAACTGCTCAATCAAAAGAAAGTTTCAACGCTGTGAGTTGAAATCACACATCACAAAGAAGTTTCTGAGAATTCTTCTGTGTAGTTTTCATGTGAGGTTATTTCCTTTTCCACCATAGGCCTCAAAGCCCTCCAAATATCCACTTGCAGATTCTATAAAAAGAGTGTTTCAAAACTGCACAATCAAAAGAAAGATTCAACTCTGTTAGGTGAATGCACACATCACAAAGGAGTTTCTGAGAATGCTTCTGTCTAGTTTTTATTTGAAGATATTTCCTTTTCCACAATATTCCTCAATGCACTCCAAATATCCACTTACAGTTTCTACAAAAAGAGCATTTCAAAACTGCTCAATCAAAAGAAAAGTTCAACTCTCTGAGATTAGTGCACTTACGACAAAGGAGTTTCTCAGAATGCTTCTGTCTGGTTTTTATGTCAACATATTTCCCTTTCAGCTATAGGCCTCAAAGCGCTCCAAATATCCTTTTGCAGATACTGCAAAAAGAGTGTTTCAAAACTGTTCAAACAAAAGAAAGCTTCAACTCTGTGAGATGAATGCACACATTACAAAGCAGTATCTCAGAATGCTTCTGTCTAGTTATTATGTGAAGATATTTCCTTTTCAGCTTTAGGTCCCAAAGTGCTCCAAATATCCATTTTCAGATACTACAGAAAGAGTGTTTCCAATCTGCTCCATCAAAAGAAAGGTTCAACTCTGTGAGTTGAATGCACACATCACAAAGTAGTTTCTGAGAATGCTTCAGCCTAGTTTTTATTTGAAGATATTTTATTTTCCAAAATGGGCCTCAAAGCGCTCCAAATATCCACGTGCAGATTCTTAAAAAAGAGTGTTTCAAAACTGCTCTATCAAAAGAAAGGTTCAACTCTGTGAGATGAATGCACACATCACAAAGAAGTTTTTCGGAATGCTTCTGTATACTTTTTATATGAAGATATTTCCTTTTCAGCTATAGGCCTCAAAGCGCTTCAAATGTCCATTTGCAGATACTACAAAAATAGTGTTTCCAACTGCTCAATCAAAAGAAAGGTTGAACTCTGTGAGTTGAATGCACACTTCACAAAGAAGTTTCTGAGAATGCTTCTGTCTAGTTTTTATGTGAGGATATTTCCTTTTACACCATAGTCCTCAAAGTGCTTCAAATATCCACTTGCAGATACTACAAAAAGAGTGTTACCAAAATGTTCAATCAAAAGAGAAATTCAATTCTGCGAGTTGAATGCACACAACACTAACTAGTTTCTGAAAATGCTTCTGTCTAGTGTTAATATGAAGATATTTCCTTTACCACGAGAGTCACAATCGCTCCAAATATCCAATTGCAGATACTACAAAAACTGTGTTTCAAAACTGCTCAATAAAAAGAAAGTTTCAACTCTGTGAGATGAATGTACACATCACAAAGAAGTTTCTCAGAATGCTTTTCTCTAGTTTTTAAGTGAAGATATTTCCTTTTCAGCTATAGACCTCAAAGCGCTCCAAGTATCCATCTGCAGATACTACAAAAAGAGTGTTTCCAAACTGCTCAATCAAAAGAAAAGTTCAACTCTGTGAGTTGAATGCACTCATCACAAAGATGTTTCTGAGAATGCTTCTGTCTAGTTTTTATGTGAAGATATTTCCTTTTCCATCATAGGCCTCAAAGTGCTCCAAATATCCATTTGCCAACACTACAAAAAGAGTGTTTCCAAACTTCTCAATCAAAAGAAAGGTTCAACTTAGTGAGTTGAATGCACACATCAAAAAGAAGTTTCTGATAATGCTTCTGTCTAGTTTTTACGTTAAGATATTTCCTTTTCCACCATAGGCCTCAAAGTGATCCAAATATCCACTTGCAGATACTACAAAAAGAGTGTTCCAAAACTACTCAACTACAAGGAAGGCTCAACTCAGTGAGGTGAATGCACACATCACAAAGAAGTTTCTCAGAATGCTTCTGTCAATTTTTTTTGTGAAGATATTTCCTTTTCCACCATTGGCAACACAGCCCTCTAAATATCTATTTGTAGATACTACAAAAAGAGTGTTTCCAAACTGCTCAATCAAAACAAAGTATCAACTCTGTGAGTTGAATGCACTCATAACAAAGTATTGTCTGAGAATACTTCTGTCTAGTTTTTATGTGAAGATATTTCCTTTTCAGCTATAGGCCTCAAAGTGCTCCAAATATCCATTTGCAGATACTACAAAAAGAGTGTTTCCAAAATGCTCAATCAAAAGAAATGTTCAACTCTGAGTTGAATGCACATATCACGAAGGTGTTTGTGAGAATGCTTCTGTCTAGTTTTTTTTTTGAAGATATTTCCTTTTCCACCATAGGCCTCAAAGTGCTCCAAATATAAACTTGCAGACTCTACAAAAAGAGTGTTTCAAAACTACTCAATCAAAAGAAAGGTTCAACTCTCTGAGATGAACGCACACATCACAAAGAGGTTTCTCAGAATGCTTCTGTCTAGTTTTTATGTGATGACATTTCCTTTTCTGCTACAGGCCTCAAAACGCTCCAAATATCCACTTTCAGACAGTACAATAAGAGTGTTTCCAAAGTGCTCAATCAAAAGGAAAGTTCAGCTCTGTGAGTTGAATGCACACATCACAAAGTACTTTCTGAGAATGCTTCTGTTTAGTTCTTATGTGAAGATATTTCCTCTTCCGCAATTGGCCCCAAAGTGCTCCAAACATCCACTTGCAGATTCTACAAAGGAATGTTTCAAAACTGCTCAATCAAAAGAGATATTCAAATCTGTGAGATGAATGCACACATCAAAACGAAGTTTCAGAGAATGCTTCTGTCTAGTTTTTATGTGAAGATATTTTCTTTTTCACCATTGGCATCAAAGTGCTCCAAATATCCACTTGCAGATTCTACAAAAAGAGTGTTTCAAAACTGCACAGAGAAAAGAAAGGTTCAACTCTGTGAGATGAATGCACACATCACAAAGAAGTTTCTCAGAATGCTTCTGTCTAGTTTTTATAAGAAGATATTTCCCTTTCTGCTACAGGCCTCTAATCACTCCAAATATCCATTTGCAGATACTCCAAAAAAGTGTTTTGAAACTGCTCAATCAAAAGAAAGGTTCAACTCCGTGAGATAAATGCTCACATGACACAGAAGTATCTGAGAATGCTTCTGTCTAGTTTTTATGTGAAGATACATCCATTTCCACAGTAGGCCTCAATGTGCTCCAAATATACACATGTAGATCTACAAAAAGAGTGTTTCAAAACGGCTCAATCAAAAGAAAGGTTCAACTCTGTTAGACGAATGCAGACATCACAAAGAAGTTTCTCAGAATGCTTCTGTCTAGTTTTTATTTGCACATATTTCCTTTTTCACCAAAGGCTTCAAAGTGCTCCAAATATCCACTTCCAGTTTCTACAAAAAGAGTGTTTCAAAAGGGGTCAATGAAAGGAAAAGTTCAACTCTGTGAGATGAATTCATACATCACAAAGAAGTTTCTCAGAATGCTTCTGTCTAGTTTTTATGTGAAGATATTTCCTTTTCAGCTATAGGCCTCAAAGTGCTCCAAATATCCATTTGCAGATACTACAAGAAGAGTGTTTCCAAACTGCTCAATCAAAAGAAAGGTTGAACTCTGTGAGTTGAATGCACAAATCACAAAGAAGTTTCTGAGAATGCTTCTGTCTAGATTTTATGTGAAGATAATTCCTTTTCCACTGTAACCCTCAAAGCGCTGCAAATATCCACTTGCAGATTCTACAAAAGGAGTGTTTCAAAACTGCTCAATCAAAAGAAAGAATCAACTCTATGAGACGAATGCACACATCACAAAGAAGTTTCTCAGAATGTTTCTGTACCGTTTTTATGTGAAGATATTTCCATTACAGCTATAGGGCTCAAAGCGCCCCAAATATCCATTTGCAGATACAAAAAAAGAATGTTTCCAAACTGCTCAATCAAAGGAAAGGTTCAACTCTGTGAGATGAATGCACACATCACACAGAAGTATCTGAGAATGCTTCTGTCTAGTTTTTATGTGAAGATATATCTGTTTCCACAATAGGCCTCAAAGTGCTCCAAATATACACATGCAGATTCTACAAAAAGAGTGTTTCAAAACGGCTCAATCAAAAGAAAGGTTCAACTCTGTGAGATGAATGCAGACATCACAAAGAAGTTTCTCAGAATGTTTTTGTCTAGTTGTTATTTGCATTTATTTCCTTTTTCACCATAAGCCTCAAAGCGCATGAAATATCCACTTACAGATTCTAGAAAAAGAGTGTTTCAAAACAGGTCAATCAAAGGAAAGATTCACCTCTGTGAGATGAATCCATACATCACAAAGAAGTTTCTCAGAATGCTTCTGTTTAGTTTTTATCTGAAGATATTTACTTTTCTACCACAGGCTTCAAAGTGCTCCAAATATCCACTTGCAGATTCTACAAAAAGAGTGTTTCAATACTGCTCAATCAAAGAAGAGGTTTAACCCTGTGAGATGAACTCACACATAACAAAGAAGGTTCTGAGAATGTTTCTGTCTAGTTTTTATGTGAAGATATTTCCTTCTCACTTGTAGGCGTCAAAGCACTCTAAACATCCATTTGCAGATACTACAAAAAGAATGTTTCCAAAATGCTCAATCAAAAGTAAGTTTCAACTCTGTGAGTTTAATGCACACATCACTAATAAGTTTCTGAGAATACTTCTGTCTAGTTTTAATATGAAGATATTTCCTTTTCCACCAGAGGCAAAATCGCTCCAAATATTCACTTGCAGATTCTTCAAAAAGAGTGTTTCAAAACGGCTCAATCAAAGCAAAGGTGCAACCCTGTGAGATGAATGTAGACATCACAAAGAAGTTTCTCAGAATGCTTCTGTCTAGTTTTTATTTGCACATATTTCCTTTTTCATCAGAGGCCTCAAAGCGCTCCAAATATCCACTTGCAGATTCTACAAAAAGAGTGTTTCAAAACTGCTCAGTCAAAAGGAAGGTTCAACTCTGCGAGATGAATGCACACATAACAAAGAAGTTTCTCAGACTTTGTCTGTCTAGTTTTTATGTGAAGATATTTCGTTTTCCAATGCAGGCCTCCAAGGGAACAAAATATCCACTTGCAGATTCTACAAAAAGAGTGTTTCAAAACTGCTCAATCAACAGAAAGTTTCAACTCTCTGAGATGAATGCAAGCATTGCAAACTAGTTTCTGAGAATGCTTCTGTCCAGTTTTTATGTGAAGATATTTCCTTTTCCACCATAGGCCTCAAAGCACTCCAAGTATCCACTTGTGGATTCTACAAAAAGAGTGTTTCAAAACTACTCAATCAAAAGAAAGTTTCATCTCTGTAAGATAAATGCACATATCACAAGGAAGTTTCTCAGAATACTTCTGTCTAGTGTTTATGTGAAGATATTTCCTTTTCAGCTATAGACCTCAAAGCGCTCCAAAGATCCATTTGCAGATACTAAAAGAGAGTGTTTCCAAACTGCTCAATCAAAAGAAATGTTCAAATCTGTGAGTTAAACGCACACATCACAAAGAAGTTTTGGAGAATGCTTCTGCCTAGTTTTTAGGTGAAGATATTTTCTTTTCCACAATAAGCCTTTAAGCGCTCCAAAAATACACTTACAGGTTCTATAAAAAGAGTGTTTCACGACTGCTCAATCAAAGGAAAACTTCACCTCTGTGAGGTGAATGCACACATCACAAAGAAGTTTCTCAGACTTCTTCTGTATTGTTTTTATGTGACGATATTTCATTTTCCACTATAGACCACAAAAAGCTCGGCATATCCATTTGCAGATACTACTAGAAGACTGTTTCCGAACTGCTCAATCAAAAGAAAGGTTAAAATCCGTGAGTTGAATGCACACAACACTAAGAAGTTTCTCAGAATCCTTCTGTCTAGTTTTTATGTGAAGGTATGTCCTATTCCACCAGAGGCCTCATAGCGCTCCAAATATCCTCTTGCAGATTCTACATAAAAAAGTGTTTCCAAACTGCTCAATAAAAAGAAAGTTTCAATTCTGTGAGATGAATGCACACATCACAATGACGTTTCTGGAATTCTTCTGTCTAGTTTTTATGTAAAGATATTTCCTTTTCCACCATAGGCCTTAACGTGCTCCAAATATCCATTTGCAGATTCTACAAAAAGAGTGTTTCAAAACTGCTCAATCAAAAGACAGTTTCAACTCTGTGAGATGAATGCACATGTCACAGAGAAGTTTCTCAGAATGCTTCTGTCTAGTTTTTAGGTGAAGGTATTTCCTTTTCAGCTGTAAGCCTCAAAGGGCTCCAAATATCCATTTGCAGATACTACAAAAAGAGTGTTTCAAATCTGCTCAATGAAAAGAAATGTTCAATTCTGTGAGATGAATGCACAAATCATAAAGAAGTTTCTGAGAATGCTTCTGTCTAGTTTTTATGTGAAGATATTTCCTTTCCCACCATGGGCCCCAAAGCCCTCCAAATAACCCCCTGGAGATTGTACAAAAGGAGTGCTTCAAAACAGCTCAATCAAAAGAAAATTTCAACTCTGTGAGATTAATGCTGCCATCACAAAGGAAGTTTCTCAGAATGCTTCTGTCTAGTTTTTAAATGAAAATGTTATCTTTTCTACCATAGTCCTCAAATCACTCCAAATACCCACTTGAAGATAATAAAAAAAGACAGTTTCCCCACTGCTCAATAAAAAAAAAGGTTCAAATCTGTGAGATGAATGCACACATCACAAAGAAGTTTCTCAGAATGTTACTGTTTAGTTTTCATGTGAAGATATTTACTTTTTCACGTGAAGATATTTCTTTTTTCACCACAGGCTTCAAAGCACTCCAAATATCTATTTGCAGATTCTACAAAAAGATTGTTTACAAACTGCTCAATCAAAAGAAAGTTTCAACTCTGTGACATGAAAGAACACATCAAAAAGGAGTTTCCCAGAAAGCTTCTGTCTAGTTTTTATGTGAAGATATTTCCTATTTCTCCATAAGCCTCAATGGTTTCATCAATATCCCTTTGCACATTCTACATAACGACTGTTTCCAAATTACTCCATCAAAAGAAAGTTTCAACTCTGTGAGATGAATGCACAAATCAAAAAGAAGTTTCTCAGAATGTTTCTGTCTAGTTTTTACGTGAAGATATTTCCTTTTCCACCATAGGCCAAAAATCGCTCCAAATATCCACTTGCATATTCTACAACAATAGTGTTTCCAAACTGCTCAATCAAAAGAAACTTTCAAATCTGTGAGATGAATGCATGCATCCCAAAGAAGTTTCTCAGAATGTTTCTCTCTAGTTCTTATGTGAAAATATTTCTTTTCCACTCAATAATGCAGAGCGCTCCAAATATCCACTTGCCGATTACACAAAAAGAGTGTTTCAAAACTGCTGAATCAAAAGAAAAGTTCAATTGTGTGAGTATAATGCACATTTTACAAAGAAGTTTCTCAGAATGCTTCTGTCTAGTTTTTATGTGAAGATATTCCTATTTCTACTTTAGGCCTCAACGCATCCAAATATCCATTTTCAGATACTACAAAGACTGTTTCCAAACTGCACAATCAAAACAAAGTTTCAACTCTGTGAGTTGAAGGCACATATCACAAAGAAGTTTATCTGAATGCTTCTGTCTAGCGATTATGTGACGATATTTTCTTTTCCACTGTACACCACAAAGTGCTACAAATATCCACTTGCAGATTTAAAGAAGGAGAGCTTCAAAACTATTCAATCATAAAGCAGGTTCAACTGTGTGAGCTGAATACACACATCACAAAGAACTCTCTCAGAATGGTTCTGTCTAGTTTTTATGTGAACGTATTTGCTTTTGCACTATATGCATCAAAGTGGTCAAAATACTCACTTGAAAATTCTATAAAAAGAATGTTTCAAAACTAATCAATCAAAAGAAAGGTTCAACTCTGTGAGATGAATGCACACATCACAACGAAGTTTCTCAGAATACTTCTGTCTAGTTTTCATGGGAAGATATTTCATTTTACACTGTAAGCCTCAAAGAGCTAAAAATATACTTTTGTAGATACTACAAAAAGAGGGTTTCAGAACTGTTCAATCAAAAGAAAGTTTCAACTCTGTGAGATGAATGCACACATCACAAAGTAGTTTCTCAGAATGCTTCTGTCTATTTTTTATGTGAAGATATTTCCTTTTCCACTATATGCCTCAAAGCATTCCAAATATCCATTTGCAGATACTTCAAAAAGACTCTTTCCAAACTCCTAAATCAAATGAAATGTTCAACTCTGTGAGATGAATGCAGGCATCACAAATAAATTTCTGAGAATGCTTCTGGTTAGTTTTTATATGAAGATATTTCCTTTTCCATTATAAGACTCGAAGCACTCCAAATATCCATTTGCAGATTCTACAAAAGGAGTATTTCAAAACTGCTCAATCAAAAGAAAGTTTCATCTCTCTGAGATAAATGCACACATCACAAAGAAGTTTCTGAGAAAGCTTCTGCCTAGTTTTTATGTGAAGCTATTTCCTTTTCCACTATAGGCCTCAAAGCGCTCCAAATATCCATTTGCAGATACTACAAAATGACTGTTTCTAAACTGCTCAATCAAAAGAAAGGATCAACTCTGTGAGTTCCATCCACACATCACAGAGAAGTTTCTCAGAATGCTTCTGTCTAGTTTTTATATGAAGATATATCCTTTCCACTGTAGGACTGAAAGAGCTCCACATATCCACTTGCAGATTCTACAAAGAGTGTTTCAAAACTCCTCAATGTAAAGAAAGGTTCAACTCAGTGAGATGAATGCACACCACAAAGGAGTTTCTCAGAATGCTTCTGTCTAGTTTTTATGTGAAGATATTCCCTTTTCACCATAGGCTTCAAAGTGCTCCAAATATCCATTTGCAGATACTACAAAATGACTGTTTCCAAACTTCTCAATCAAAAGAAAGGATCAACGCTGTGAGTTGAATGCACACATCACAGAGAAGTTTCTGAGAATGCTTCTGTCTAGTTTGTATGTGAAGGTATTTCCGTTTCCTCAACAGGCCTCAAAGTGGTCCATATATCCAGTTGCAGACACTGCGAAAAGAGTGTTTCAAAAATGCTCAATCAAAAGAGAGTTTCAACTCTGTGAGATGAATGCACACATCACAAAGAAGTTTCTCAGAATGGTTCTGTCTAGTTTTTATGCGAAGACATTTCCTTCTCCACTGTAGGCCTAAAACTGCTCCAATTATCCATTTGCAGATAACACAAAAAGACTGTTTCCAAATTGCTCAGTCAGAAGAATGGTTCAGCTCTGTGAGTTGAATGCACACATCACTGAGAAGTTTTTCAAAATGCTTCCATCTAGTTTTTATGTGAAGATATTTTCTTTTCCACTATAGGCCTCAAAGTGCTCCAAATACCCACTTGCAGATTCTTCAAAAACACAGTTTCCAAACTGCTCAATCAAAGGAAGGGTTCAACTCTTTGAATTGAAAGCACACATCACAAAGAAGTTTCTCAGAATGCTTCTGTCTAGTTTTTATGTGAAGCTATTTCCTTTTCTGCCATAGGCCACAAAGCGCTCCAATCATCCACTTTCAGACTCTACAAAAAGAGTGTTTCAAAACTGCTCAATCAAAAGAATGGTTCAACTCTGTGAGATGAATGCACACTTCACTAGAAGTTTCTCAGAATGCTTCTGTCTTGTTTTTATGTGAAGATATTTCCTTTTCCACCATAGGCCCCAAAGCGCTTCACATATCCATTTTCAGATACTACAAAAGGACTGTTTCCAAACTGTTCAATCAAAAGAAAGGTTCATCTTTGTGAGTTGAATGCACACATCACAAAGAAGTTTCTCTGAGGGCTTCTATCTAGTTTTTATGTGAAGATAGTTCCTTTTCAGCTATGGGCCTCAAAGCGCTCCAGATATCCATTTGCAGACACTACAAAAAGACTGTTTCCAAGCTGCTCAATCAAAAGAAATGTTCAACTCTGTGAGTTGAATGCACACCTCACAAAGAAGTTTCTCAGAATACTTCTGTCTAGTTTTTATGTGATTATATTTCCTTTTCCGCCATAGGTCCGAAAGTGCTCCAAATATCCACTTGTAGTTTCTACAGAAAGAGTGTTTCTAAACTGCTCAGTCAAAAGAAAGGTTCAACTCTGTGAATTGAATGCACACATCACAACGAAGTTTCTCAGAATGTTTCTGTCTAGTTTTTATCTGAAGATATGTCCTTTTCCTGCATAGACCTCAAAGCATTCCAAATATGCACTCGCAGATTCTACAAAAAGAGTGTTTCAAAACTTCTCAATCAAAAGAAAGTTTCACCTCTGTGAAGTGAAAGCACACATCACAAAGAAATTTATCAGAATATTTCTGTCTAGTTTTTATTTGAAGATATTTCTTTTTCCAATATAGGCCAGAAAGTGCTCCAAATATCTGCTTGTAGATTCTACAAAAATATTGTTTCCAAACTGCTCAATCAAAAGAAAAGTTCATCTCTGTGAGATGAATGCACATATCACAAAGAAGTTTCTCAGAATGCTTCTGTCTAGTTTTTATGTGAAGATATTTCCTTTTCCACCATAGGCCTCAAAGCGCTTCACATATCCATTTTCAGATACTACAAAAAGACTGTTTCCAAACTGTTCAATCAAAAGAAAGGTTCATCTTTGTGAGTTGAATGCACACATCACAAAGAAGTTTCTCTGAGGGCTTCTATCTAGTTTTTATGTGAAGATATTTCCTTCTCCGCCTTAGGCCTCAAAGCTTTCCAAATATCTTCTTGCAGATTCTACAAAAAGAGTGTTTCCGAACTGCTCAATCAAAAGAAATGTTTAACTCTGTGATTTGAATGCACACATTATGAAGATGTTTCTAAGAATCCTTCGGTCTAGTTTTTATGTGACGATATTTCCTTTTGCACCATAGGCCTCAAAGCGCTCCAAATATCCACTTCAGATTCTACTCAAAGAGTGTTTCAAAACTGCTCAATCAAAAGAAAGGTTCAACTCTGTGAGATGAATGCACACATCAAGAAGACGTTTTTCAGACTGTTTCTGTCTAGTTTTTATGTGAAGATATTTCCTTCTCCACCACAGTCCTCAAAGTGCTCCAAATATCCATTTGCAAATACTACAAAAAGACAGTTTCCAAACTGCGCAATCAAAAGAAAGGTCGAACTCTGTGAGTTGAATGCACACATCACAATGAAGTTTCTCAGAATGCTTCTGTCTAGTTTTTATGTGAAGATATTTCCTTTTCCACCACAGGCCTCAAAGTGCTCCAAATATCCACCTGCAGATTCTACAGAGAGCATGTTTCAAAGCTGCTCAATCAAAAGAAATGTTCAACTCTGTGAGATGAATGTGCACATCAAAATGAAGTTTCACAGAATGCTTCTGTCTAATTTTTATTTGAAGATATTTCCTTTCCACCATGGGCCAAAAAGTGTTCCAAATATCCACATGCAGATTCTACAAAAAGAGTGTTTCAAAAATGCTCAATCAAAGAAGGATTCATCTCTGTGTGATCAATGCACACATCACAAAGAAGTTTCTGAGAATGCTTCTGTCTAGTTCTTATGTGAAGACATTTCCTTTTCCACCATAGGCCTCAAAGCACTCCAAATATCCATTTGCAGATTCTACAAAAAGAGCTTTTCAAAACTGCTCAATCAAAAGAAATGTTCGACTCTGTGAGATGAATGCACACATCTCGAAGAAGTTTCGCAGAATGTTTCTGTCTAGTTTTTATGTGAAGATATTTCTTTTTCCGCCATAGTCCTCAAAGTGCTCCAAATATCCATTTGCAAATACTACAAAAAGACTGTTTCCAAACTGCGCAATTAAAAGAAAGGTTCAACTCTGTGAGTTGAATGAATACAAGGCAAAGAAGTTTCTCAAAATACTTCTGTCTAGGTTTTATTTGAAGATATTTCCTTTTCCACCGTAGGCCAAAAAGCACTCCAAATATCCACATGTAGATTCTACAAAAAGGTTGTTTCAAAAATGCTCAACCAAAAGAAAGATTCATCTCTGTGAGATCAATGCACACATCATAAAGAAGTTTCTCAGAATGCTTCCGTCTAGTTTTTATGTGAAGAGATTTCCTTTTCCACCAAATGCATCAAAGCACTCCAAATATCCATTTGCAGATACTACAAAAAGACTGTTTGCAAACGGCTGAATCAACAGAAATGTCCAACTCTGTGAGTTGAATGCACACTTCACAAAGTAGTTTCTCAGAATGCCTCTTTCTAGTTTTTCTGTGAAGATATTTAGTCTTTTAGTGCAATCTGCAAAGGAATATTTCTGAGCCCTTTGAGGCCTGCGGTGAAATAGGAAATATCTTCACATACAAACTTGACAGAAGCTTTTTGGGAAACTGCTTTGTGATGTTTACTTTCATGTCACTGAATTGAACCTTTCTTTTGATTGTGCAGTTTGGAAACAGTTTTTTTGTAGAATCTGCAAATGGATTTTTGGAGAACTTGAGGCCTATGTTG
Source organism: Homo sapiens (assembly GCF_000001405.40). NCBI lineage: Eukaryota > Metazoa > Chordata > Mammalia > Primates > Hominidae > Homo > Homo sapiens. The sequence goes on along the minus strand of NC_000016.10, from coordinate 35,980,693 downwards.
AAAAAGGAAATATCTTCACATAAAAACTACACGTAAGGTTTCTGAGAAACTTCTTTTTTATGTGTGCTTTCATCTCACAGCGTTGAAGCTTTCCTTTGATTGAGCAGTATGGAAACAGTCTTTTTGTAGTATCTGCTGAAGGATATTTGTGAATGGTTTGAAGCCTATGGTGTAAAAGGAAATATCTTCACATAAAATCTAGACAGAAACTTTCTGAGAAACTTCTTTATGATGTGTGCTTTCATGTCACAGAGTTGAACCTTTCTTTTCATTGAGGAGTTTGGAAACAGTCTTTTTGTAGAATCTGCAAAGGGATATTTGTGAGCAGTTTGAAGCATATGGTGAAAAAGGAAATGTCTTCACATTAAAACTAGACAGAATCATTTTGAGAATCTTCTTTGTGATGTTTGCATTCATCTCACAGAGTTGAACCTTTCTTTTGATTCAGCAATTTTGAAACCATCTTTTTGTAGAATCTGCAGTGGGATATTTGCGAACTCTTTGAGGCTTGTGGTGAAATAGGAAATATCTTCACATAAAGACTAGACAGACACTTTCTGCAAAACTTCTTTGTGATGTGTGCATTCCTCCCACAGAGTGGAACCTTTCTTTTGATTGAGCAGTTTGGAAACAGTTTTTTTGTAGAATCTCCAAAATGATATTTGGAGTACCTTGATTCCTCTGAAAAATAAGGAAAATTTCACAAAAATACTAGATGGAAAATTTATGAGAAACTTCTTTGTGATGTGGGTTTCATCTCACAGAGTTGAATATTTCTTTGCATTGAGCAGTTTGCAAACAGTCTTTTTGCAGAATCTGCAAGAGGATATTTGGAACGCTTTGAGGCCCATGGTGAAAAAGGAAATATCTCAACATAAAAATTAGACAAAAGCTTTCTGAGTAACCTGTCTGTGAACCATGCATTCATTTAATAGAGTTGAGCCTTTCTTTTGATTGAGCAGCTTGGAAACAGTCTCTTTGTAGAATCTCTAAATAGATATTTGGAGCATTTTGAGGCCTAAGGTGAAAAGGGAAATATCTTCACATAAAAACTAGACAGAATCCTTCTGAGAAACTTCTTTGTGGTGTGTGTTTTCATTTCACAGGGTAGAACATTTCTTTTGATTGATCAGTTTGGACATACTTTCTTGTAGAATCTGCAAAGGGATACTTGGAGCAGGGTGACTCCTATGATGAAAGATGAAATATCTTCAAATATAAACCAGACAAAAACTTTCTGAGAAACTTCTTTTTGATGTGTGCATTCGTCTCACAGAGTTGACACTTTCTTTTGATTAAGCAGTTTGGAAACAGTCTTTTTGTAGAATCTGCAAAGGGATATTTGTGAGCTGTTTGAGGCCTATGGTGAAAAAGGAAATATCTTCCCATAAAGACTAGACAGATGTATTCTGAGAAAATTCTTTGTGATATGTGCATTCATCTCACAGAGTTAAATTTTCTTTTGATTAAGCAGCTTGGAAACAGTCTTTTTGTAGAATCTGCAAATGGATATTTGTGAGACCACTTTGGCCTATGTTGAAAAAGGAAATATCTTCACATTTACACTAGACAGAAGCTTTCTGAGAAACTTCTTTGTGTTGGGTGCTTTCATCCGACAGGTTTGAACCATTCTTCTGATTGGTCAGTTTTGAAACAGTCTTTTTGTAGTATCTGCAAATGGATATTTGGAGCGCTTTGAGGCCTAAGGTGAAAAAGGCATATCTTCAGGTAAAACTGGATAGAAGCTTTCTGAGAAACTTCATTGTCATGTGTGCATTCATCTCACAGAATTGAACTTTTCTTTTGATTCAGCAGTTTGGAAACTGTCATTTTCTTGAATCTGCAAAGGGATATTTTTGAGCTGTTTGAGGCCTAAGGTGAAAAAGGAAATATCTTCACATAAAAACTAGACAGAAGCTTTCTGAGAAACTTCTTTGTGATGTGTGCATTCGTCTCACAAAGTTGAACCTTTCTTTTGATTGAGTAGTTTGGAAACAGTCTTTTTGTAGAATCTGCTAAGGGATATTTGTGAGCGGTTTGTGGCCTATGATGAAAAAGGAATTATCTCCACACAAAAACTAGAAAGGATTATGAGAAACATTTTGTGATGTGTGCATTCATCTGACAGAGTTGAACTTTTCTTTTGATTGAGGAGTTTGCAAACAGTCTTTTTGTAGAATCTGCAAAGGGATATTTGTGAGCCTTTGAGGCCTATGTTGAAAAAACAAATATCTCCACGTTAAAACTAGACAGAAGCTTTCTCAGAAACTTCTCTGTGATGTGTGCTTTCATCTCACAGAGTTGAAAGTTTCTCTCAGTAGAGCAGTTTGGAAATAGTCTTTTCATAGAATCTGCAAAGGGATATTTGTGAGTGTTTGTGGCTTATGGTGAAAAAGGAAATCTCTTCACTTAAAAACTAGAAAGAAGCTTTCTGAGAAAATTATTTGTGATTTGTGCAATCATCTCACAGATTTGAACCTTTCTTTTGATTGAGGCTATTGGAAACAGTCTTTTGTAGAATCTGCAAAGGAATATTTGGAGCACGTTGAGGCCTAAGGTGACAAAAGAAATATCTTCACATAAAAACCAGACAGAAGCTTTTTGAGATACTTCTTTAAGATGTGTGTATTCATCTCACAGAGTTGAAATTTTCTTTTCATTCAGCAGTTTGGAAATAGTCTTTTTGTAGAATCTTCCAAAGGATATTTCGATCAATTTAAGGCCTTTGGTGAAAAAGGGAATATCTTCACATAAAAAATAGACAGAAGATTTCTGACAAACTTCTTTGTGATCTGTGCATTCATCTCACAGATTTGAACCGTTCTTTTCATTGAGGAGTTTGGAAACCATCTTTTTGTACAGTCTGCAAAGGAATATCTATGAGCCCTTGAAGCCTATGATGATAAAGTAAATATCTTTGCATAAAAACTAGACAGATGCTTTCTGAGAAACTACTTTGTGTTGTGTGCTTTCATCTCACAAATTTGAACTTTTCTTTTGATTGAGCAGTTTGGAAACAGTCTTTTGTAGAATCCACAAAGGGATATTTGGAGTGCATTGAGGCCTGTGGTGAAAAAAGAAATATCTTCACATAAGAACTAGACAGAAGATTTCTCAGAAACTTCCTTGTGATGTGTGCATTAAACTCAAAGAGTTAAACCTTTCTTTCATTGAGTAATTTGGAAACCGTCTTTTTGTAGAATCTGCAAAGGGATATTTGTGAGCCATTTGAGACCTATGGTGAAAAAGGAAATATCTTCACATAAAAAGTAGATGGAAGCTTTCTGAGAAATGTATTTGTGATGTATGTATTCACCTCACATAATTTAACCATTCTTTTGATGGATCAGTTTGGAAACAGTCTTTTTGTAAAATCTGCAAAGAGATATTTGCAGCACTTTGATGCCTATGGTGAAAAAGGAAATACCTTCATATAAAAACTAGACAGAAGCTTTCTGAGAAACTTCTTTGTGATGTGTGCATTGACTTCACATATTTGAACATTTCTTTTGATTGAGAAGTTTGAAAACAGTCTTTTTGTAGTATCTGCCAGGGGATATTTGTGAGCGGTTCGATGCCTATGGTGAAAAAGGAAACATCTTCATATAAAAGCTAGACAGAAGCTTTTTGAGAAACTTCTTTGTGATGTGTGCCTTCATCTCACAGAGTTGAACCTTTCTTTTGATTTAGCAGTTTGCAAACAGTCTTTTTGTAGAATCTGCCAAGGAATATTTGGAGCACTTTTTCCCTGTGTTGTAAAAGGAAATATCTTTGTAAAAAAACTAGACAGAATCTTTCTGAGAAACTTCTTTGTGATTTGTGCATTCATCTCACAGAGTTGAAACTTTCTTTTGATTGAGCAGTTTGTAAACAGTCTTTTTGTAGAATCTGCAAAGGGAGATTTGTGAGCGGTTTGACGCCTATTGTGGAAAAGGAAATATCTTCACATAAAAACTAGACAGAAGCTTTCTGAGAAACTTCTTTGTGATGTCTGCATTCACCTCACAGAGTTGAAACTTTCTTTTGATTGACCAGTTTGGAATCATTCTTTTTTTTAGAATCTGCAAAGGGATATTTGTGACTGCTTTGAGGCCTATTGTGAAAAAGGAAATATCTTCACATAAAAACTAGACCGAAGCTTTCTGAGAAACTTCTTTGTGATGTGTGCACACATCTCAAAGATTTGAAGCTTTCTTTTCATTGAGCAGTTTGGAAACAGTCTTGTTTAGAATCTGCAAAGGGATATTTCTAGGCGGTTTGAGGCCTATTGTGAAAGAGGAAATATCTTCACATAAAAACAAGATAGAAGCTTCCTGAGAAACTTCTTTGTGATGTGTACTTTGATCTCACAGAGTTGAAACTTTTTTTGACTGAGTAATTTGGAAACACTCTTTTTGTACAATCTGCAAAGGGATTTTTCTAGGTGGTTTGAGGGCTATGGTGAAAAAGGAAATATCTTCCCATAAAAACTAGATAGAAGCTTTCTGAGAGACTTCTTTGTGATGTGTGCATTCATCTCACATAGTTGAAGTTTTATTTTTAATGACCAGTTTGGAAACATTTTTTTGTAGATTCTTCAAAGGGATATTTTTGAGCCCTTTGATGCCTATGGTGAAAAATGAAATATCTTCACATAAGAACTAGACAGAAGCATTCTAAGAAACTTCTTGTGATGTGTGAATTCATCTCACAGGTTGAAAATTTCTATTGACTGAGTAGTCTTGAATCAGTCTTTTTGTAGAATCTCCAAAGGGATACTTGTGAGCGGTTTGAGGACTATTGTGAAAAAGGAAATATAATCACATAAAAACCAGACAGAAGCTTTCTGACAAACTTCTTTGTGATGTGAGAATTCATCTCAAAGAATTGAAACTTTCTTTTGGTAGATCAGTTTTGAAACTGTCTTTTTGAGTTATCTGTTACGGGATATTTTTGATGCCTTTGAGGCCTATGGTGAAAAAGGAAATATCTTCACAATAAAACTAGACAGAAGCTTTCTGGGAAACTTCTTTGTGATGTGTGCATTAATCTCACAGAGGTGAAACTTTCTTTTGATTGAGCAGTTTGGAAAGAGTCTTTTTGTAGAATCTGCAAAGGAATGTTTGTAGGCTGTATGAGGCCTATGATGGAACAGGAAATATCTTCACATAAAGACAAGACAGAAGCTTTCAGAGAAACTTGTTTGGGATGTGTGCTTTCATCTCACAGAGTTGAACCTTTCTTTTCATTGAGTAGTTTGGAAAGGGTCTTTTTGGAGAATCTGTAAAGGGATATTTGGAGCACTTTGAGGCCTATGGTGAAAAAGGAAATGTCTTCACATAAAACATAGATGGAAGCTTTCTGAGAGACTACTTTGTGGTGTGTGCATTCACCTCACAGAGGTGAACCTTTCTTTTCCTTGAGCAGTTTGGAAATGTCATTTTCTGGAATCTGCAAAGGGATATTTGGAGTGCTTTGAGGCCTATGGAGAATAAAGAAAATATTCACATAAAAACTAGACAGAAGCTTTCTGAGAAACTTCTTTGTGATGGGTGCATTCATCTTACCAGCTCACACCTTTCTTTTCATTAAGCAGTCTGGAAAAAGTCTTTTTGTAGAATCTCCAAATGTATACTTAGAGTGCTTTGAGGCCTATGGTGAAAAAGGAAATACCTTCACATAAAAACTAGTCAGAAGCTTTTTGAGAAACTTCTTTGTAATGTGTGCATTCATCTCACAGAGTTGAACATTTCTTTTGTTTGAGCAGTTTGGAAACAGTCTTATTGAAGAATTTGCCAAGGGATATTTGGATCACTTTTAGGTGTATGGTGAAAAAAGGAATATCTTCACATAAAAAGTAAACAGACGCTTTCTGAGAAACTTCTTTGTGATGTGTGCATTCACCTCACAGTGTTGAAGCTTTCTTTTGATTGAGCAGTTTGGAAACAGTCTTTTTGTAGAATCTGCAAGGAGATGTATTGAGCAATTTGAGGCCTATGGTGAAAAAATAAATATCATCACATAAAAACTAGATAGAATATTTCTGAGAAACTTCTCTGTGAGGTGTCCACTCATCTCACAGAGTTGAACATTTCTTTATCAAGCAGTTTGGAAGCAGTCTTTTTGTAGAGTCTGCAAAGGGATATTTGTGAGTGTTGTGAAGCCCATCGTAAAAAAGGAAATATCTTCACATAAAAACCAGAGAGAAGCATTTTGAGAAACGTCTTAGTGATGTGTGCATTCATCTCACAGAGTTGAACCTTTCTTTTCATTGAGGAGTTTGGAAGCAGTCTTTTTGTAGAATCTTTAAAGGGATATTTGGAGTGCTTTGAGGCCTACTGTGAAAAAGGAAATGTCTTCGTATAGAAACCATATATAAGCTTTCCGAGAAACTTCTTTGTGATGTGTGCTTTCATCTCATGTAGTTGAACCTTTCTTTTCATTGAGCAGTTTGGAAACAGTCTTTTTGTAGAATCTGCAAAGGGATATTTGTGAGTGGTTTGAGGCCTATGGTGAAACAGGAAATATCTTCACATAAAAACTAGGGAGAATCTTGCTGAGAAAATTCTTTGTGATATGTGTTTCCATCTCACAGATTTGAATATTTCCTTTCATTGATCAGTGTGGAAACAGTCTTTTTGTAGAATCTGCAAAGAGATATTTGTGACCCCTTTGAGACCGATGATAAAAAAGGAAATATCATCACATGAAACCTAGACAGAAGCTTTCCGGGAAATGTCTTTCAGATGTGTGCATTCATCTCACCGAGTTGAACATTTCTTTTCATTGAGTGGTTTGGAAACAGTCTTTTTGTAGAATCTGCAAAGGGATATTTGGAGTGCTTTGAGGCCTATGGCGAATAAGGACAATCTTCACATAAGAACTAGACAGAAGCTTTCTGGGAAACTCCCTTGTGATGGATGTTTTCATCTCACAGATTTGAAACTTTGTTTTGATTGAGCAGTTTGGAAATAGTGTTTGTGTAGAATCTCCCAATGGACATTTGGAGCTCTTTGAGTCCCATGGTGAAAAAGAAAATATCTCGGAAAAAAAAAAAAAAAAACTAGACAGAAGCATTCTGCAGAACTTCTTTCTGATGTGTGCATTTATCTCCTAGAGTTGACACTTTCTTTAAATTGAGAAGTTTAGAAAGAGTCTTTTCGTAGATTCTGCAAAGGGATATTTGGAGTGCCGTGGGGCCTGTGATGAATAAGGAAATACCTTCACATAAAAAGTACACACAAGGTTTCTGATAATCTTATTTGGGATATGTACACTCATCTCATGGAGGTGGAACTTTCTTTAGATTGGTCAGTTTGGAAACAGTCTTTTTGTAGAATATGCAAAGGGATATTTGTGAGCTCTTTGATGCCTATGGTGGAAAAGGAAATATCCTCACATAAAAACTAGACAGAAGCTTTCTGAGAAACTTCTTTGTGATGTGTGCTGTCATCTCACAGACTTGAACATTTCCTTTTATTGATCAGTTTGGAAACAGCCTTTTTGAGGATCTGCAAAGTGATATTTTGAGCAATTTTTGGCCTATGGTGTTAAAGGAAATATCTTCAAATAAACACTAGAAAGAAGCTTTCTGAGAAATTTCTTTGTGATGTGTGCATTCATCTCAAAGAGTTGAAAATTTCCTTTCTTAAGCAGTTTGGAAATAGTCTTTTTGTAGAATCTGCCAAGGGATATTTTGAGTACTTTGAGGCCTATGGTGAAAAAGGAAATATCTTCACGTAAAAACTAAACAAAAGATTTCTGAGAAACTTCTTTGTGATGTGTGCATTGATCTCACAGAGTTGAACCTTTCTTTGATTGAGCAGTTTGGAAACAGTTTTTGTAGAATCTTCAAAGGGATATTTGTGACCCCGTTGAGACCTATCATGTAATAGGAAATAGTTTCACATAAAAACTAGAAAGAAGCATTCTGAGAATCTTCTTTGTGATGTGTGCTTTCATTTCACAGAGTTGAACCTTTCTTTCGAGTGAGCAGTTTTGAAACAGTCTTTTTGTAGGATCTGCAAATGGATATTTGGAGTGCTTTGAGGTCTATGGTGAAAATGGAAATATCTTCACATAAAAACTAAACAGAAGATTTCTGAGAAACTTCTTTGTGATGTGTGCATTCATCTCACAGAGTTGAACCTTTCTTTGATTGAGCAGGATGGAAACAGTTTTTTGTAGAATCTTCAAAGGGATATTAGTGACCCCGTTGAGGCCTATGATGTAATAGGAAATATCTTCACATAAAAACTGGAAAGAAGCATTCTGAGAATCTTCTTTGTGATGTGTGCTTTAATTTCACAGATTTGAACCTTTCTTTTGAGTGAGCAGTTTGGAAACAGTCTTTTTGTAGAATCTGCAAATGGATATTTGGAGTGCTTTGAGGCCTATGGTGAAAATGGAAATATCTTTACATGAAAACTAGACAGAATCTTCTGAGGAACTTATTTGTGATATGTGCATTCATCTCAGAGATTTGAACCTTTCTTTTCATTGAGCAGTTTTTAAACAGTGTTTTTATAGATTCTCCAAAGGGATGTTTGGAGGGCTTTGGGGCCTGTGGTGAATAGGGAAATATTTTCACATAAAAAGTAGACAGAAGCTTTCTGAGAAACTACTTTATGATATGTGCATTCATCTGACAGAGTTGAAGCTTTCTTTTGATTGAGTAGTGTGGAGACAGTCTTTTTGTAGTATCTGCAAATGGATATTTGGGGAGCTTTGAGGCCTATGGTGAAAAAGGAAATATCTTCACATAAAAACTAGCCAGAAGCTTTCTGAGAAACTTCTTTGTGATGTGTGCCTTCATCTCACAGAGTTTAGCCTTTCTTTTGATTGAGCCATTTTGAAACCATCTTTTTGTAGAATCTGCCAAGGAATACTTGGAGCACTTTGAGGCCTATGGTGAACAATAAATATCTTGAAATAAAAACTAGACAGAAGCATTCTGTGAAACTCCTTTGTGATGTGTGCTTTTGTCTCAGAGAGTTGAACCTTTCTATTGATAGAGCAGTTTGGAAACAGTCTTTTTGTAGCACCTGGAAAGGGATATTTGGGATATTTTGAGGCCTATGGTGAAATAGGAAATATCTACACATAAAAACTAGACAGTTTTTCAGAAATTTCTTTGCGATGTTTGCATTCAACTCATAGAGTTGAAACTTACTTTTCATTGAGCAGTTTGGAAACAGGCTTTTTGTTACAATCTGCAAAGGGTGTTTCTGAGCCATTTGAGGGCAGTGGTGAAAAAGAAATATCTTCACATAAAAGCTAGACAAAAGCTTTCTGAGAAACTTCTTTGTGATGTGTGCATTCACCTCACATAGTTGCATCTTTCCTTTCATTGAGCAGTTGGTAAACAGTCTTTTTGTAGAATCTGCAGAGGTATATTTGGGAGCCCTTTCAGGCCCATGGTGTATTAGGAAATATCTTGACATAAAAACACACAGAAGTTTTCTGAGAAACTTCTTTGTGATGTGTGCTTTCATCTCCCAGGGTTGAGCCTTTCTTTTGATTGAGAAGTTTGGAAACAGTCATTTGCAGAATCTGCAAATAGATATTTGGAGTGCTTTGAGGCCTATGGTGAAAAAGAAAATATCTTCATATAAAAACTAGACAGAAGCTTTGTGAGAAAGTTCTTCATGATGTGTGCATTCATCTCACAGAGTTGAACATTTCTTTTGATTGAGTAGTTTGGAAACAGTCTTTTTGTAGAATGTGCAGAGGGATATCTTTGAGCGGTTTGAGGCCTATGATAAAGGAAACATCTTCACATAAAAACTAGACAGAATCTTCTTGAGAAACTTTTTGTGATATTTTCATTAATCTCACAGTGTTGAACCTTTCTTTTCATTCAGCCATTTGGAAACAGTCTTTTTGTAGAATCTGCAGAGGGATAATTTTCAGCCCATTGAGGCATATGGTGAAATACGAAATATCTTCACATAAAAAATAGACAGAAACTTTCTGAGAAACTTCCTTGTTATATGTGCTTTCATCTCATAGAGACAAAGCTTTCTTTTGATTGACAGTTTGGAAACAGTGCATTTGAAAAATTTTCAAATGGATAATTGTAGCGTTTTGAGGAATATGCTGAAAAAAGAAATATCTTCACATAAAAACTAGACAGAAGCTTCCTGAAAAACTTCTTCTTGATGTGTGGATTCATCTCACATAGTTGAACCTTTCTTTTGATTGAGCAGTTTGGAAAAGTTCTTTTTGGAGAAGCTGTAAAGATATATTTGTGAACGAGTTGAGACCTATGGGGAAATGGAAATATCTTCACATAAAAACTAGGCAGAAGCTTTCTGAGAAACTTCTTTGTGATGCGTGACTTCATCTCACAGAGTTGAAAATTTCTTTTGATTGAGCAGTTTTGAAACACTCTTTTTGTAGAATCTGCCAAGGGATATTTGGAGCACTATGAGGTGTATGGTGAAAAATATATATCTTCAAATAAAAACTAGATAGAAGCATTCTGAGAAACTTCTTTTTGATGTCTGCTTTCATCTCATAGAGTTGAACATTTCTTTTTGATAGAGCAATTTGGAAACATTGCATTCTGAGTAAATTCTTTGTTATGTGTGCTTTCATCTCACAGAGTTGAAATTTTCTTTTGATTGAGCAGTTTGGAAACAGTCTTTTTGTAGAATGTTCAAAGGGATAATTGTGAGTCCCTTGAAGCCTATAGTGTAATAAGAAATATCTTGACATCAAAACTGGGCAGATGGTTTCTGAGAAACTACTTTGTGATGTGTCCTTTCGTCTCACATAGTTGAACCTTTCTTTTGATTGAGGAGTATGGAAGCAGTCTTTTTGTACAATCTTCAAAGGGATTTTTTGTGCAGTATGAGGCCTATGGTTAGAAAGTTATATCTTCACATCTAACGAGACAGAACCATTCTGAGAAACTTCTTTGTGACATGTGCATTCATCTCACGGAGTTGAAACTTTATTTTCATTGAGTAGTTTGTAAAAAGTCTTTTTGTAGAAACCGCAAATTGATATTTGGAGTGCCTTGAGTCCTATATCCAAACTGCCCAATCAAAAGAGAAGTTCAACTCTGGGAGATGAAGGCACACATCACAAAGAAGTTTCTCAGAATGCATCTGCCTACGTTTTATGTGAATATATTATCTGTTTCACAATAAGGTTCAATCTACTCACAAATATTCCTCTGCAGATTCTAAAAAAAAGGCTGTTTCCAAAATTCTCAAACAGAGAAGTTCAAATCTGTGAGATGAATGCACACATCACAAATAGATTCTTAGAGAGCTTCTGTCCAGTTTTTATGTGAAGTTATTTCCTTTTTCACCATAGACCTCAAAGTGCTCCAAATATCCATTTGCAGAGTCTACAAAATGACTGTTTCCAAACTGCTCAATCAAAAGAAAGATTCATCTCTCTGAGATGAAATCACACATCACAAAGAAGTTTCTCAGAATGCTTCTGTCAAGTTTTTATGTAAAGATATTTCCTATTTCACAATAGGCCTCAATGGGGTCACAAATATCCCTTTGCAGATTCTAGAAAAACTGTTTCCAAACTGCTCAATCTAAAGAAAGGTTCAACTCCATGAGATGAATTCACACATCACAAAGAAGTTTCTCAAAAAGCGTCTGTCTAATTTTTATGTGAAGATGTTTCCATTTTCACCATATGCCTGAAACCACTGATGAATATCCATCTGCAAATACTAAAAAGAGACAGTTTCCAAACTACTCAATCTAAAGAAAGGTTCGACTCCCTGAGATGAATGCACACATCACAAAGAAGTTTCTCAGAATGTTTCTGTCTAGTTTTTACGTGAAGGTATTTTATTTTTCACCATAGGTGTCAAGGCACACCAAATATCCATTTGCAGATTCTACAAAAAGACTGTTCCCAAATTTCTCAATCAAACGAAAAGTTCAACTCTGTGAGTTGAAAGCACACATCACAAAGCAGTTTCTCAGAATGCTTCTGTCTAGTTTTTATGTGAAGATTCTCCTATTTCACCATAGGCGTCAATGGGGTCAAAAATATCCCTTTGTAGATTCCACAAGAAACTATTTATAAACTGCTCAATCAAAAGAAAGGTTCAACACTGAGATGAATGCACACATCACAAAGAAGTTTCTCAGAGTGCTTCTGTATAGCTTTTATGTGAAGATGTTTCCATTTTCACCATAGACCTCAAACTGCTCACAAATATTACTCTGCAGATTATAAAAAAAGACTGTTTCCAAACTGCTGAATCAAAAGAAAGTTTCAAATCTGTCAGATGAATGCACACATCACAAAGAAGATTATCAGAAATATTCTATTTAGTTTTTATTTGAAGATATTTCCTTTTTCACCACAGGCAGCAAAGCACTCCAAATATCCATTTGCAGATTCTAAAAAAAGGCTGTTTCCAAACTTCTCAATCAAAAGAAACGTTCAACTCTGTGAGATGAATGTGCACATAACAAAGAAGTTTCTCAAAAAATTTCTGTTTAGTTTTAATTTGAATATATTTCCTTTAATATTTCCAATTAAATTGAATATATTTAATTTGAATATATTTAATTTGAATATATTTTCACCATAGGACTCAAAGCACTCCAAATATCCACTTGCAGATTTTTCAAATAGACTGCTTCCAAACTGCTCAATCAAATGAAAGGTTCAACACTGTGAGATGAATGCACACATGACAAAGTAGTTTCTCAAAAAGCTTCTGCCTACATTCTATGTGAAGATATTTCCTTTTTCACCATAGGCCTCAAAGCACTCCAAATATCCATTTGCAGATACTACAAAAAGAGTGTTTCCAAACTGCTTAATCAAAAGAAAGGTTCAACTCTGTTAGATGAACACACACATCAGAAAGAAGTTTCTCAGAATTCTTCCGTCTAGTTTTTATGTGAAGATATTTCCTATTTCACCATAGGCCTAAAAGTGGTCACAAATATCCCTTTGCAGATTCTACGAAAAACTGTTTCCAAAGTGCTGAATCAAAAGAAAGTTTCAATTCTGTGAGATGAACGCACACATCAGAAAGTAGTTTCTCAGAAAGCTTCTGTCTAGTTTTTATCTCAACATATTTCCTTTTTCACTATAGGCTACAAAGGGCTCACAGGTATCATTTGCAGACTCTAAAAACACGTTTACAAACTGTTTAATAAAAAGAAAGTTGAATTCTGTGAGACGAATGCACACATCACAAAGAAGTTTCTCAGAAAGCTTCAGTCTAGTTTTTAAGTGAAGATATTTCCTTTTTCACCATGGGCCTCAGAGGGCTCAAAAATATACCTTTGCAGACTCTATAAAAAGACTGTTTCCAAACTTCTAAATCAAAAGAAAAGTTCAACTATGTGAGATGAATGTGCACATCTCAAAGAAGTTTCTCAGAATGCTCCTGTCTAGTTTTCATGTGAAGATATTTCCTTTTTCACCATAGGCCTGAAACCACTCACAAATATCCCTTTGAAAATTCTACAAAAAGACTGTTTCAAAACTGCTCAATCAAAACAAAGGTTCAACTCTGTGAGATGAATGCACACATCACAAAGAAGTTTTTCAGAAAGATTCTGACTAGTTTTTATTTGAAGATATTTCCTTTTTCACCATAGGATTCAGAGCACTCCACATATCCATTTGTAGATTCTACAAAAAGACTGTTTCCAAACTGATCAATCAAAAGAAAGTTTCAACACTGTGGGATGAATGCCCGCATGACAAAGAAGTTTCTTAGAAAACTTTTATCTATTTTCTATGTGAAGATATTCCCTTTTTCACCATAGGCCCCAAAGTGCTCCAAATATTCATTTGCAGATTCTACAAAATCCTGTTTCCACACTGCTCAATCCAAGGAAGGGTTCCATTCTGTGAGATGAAAGCACACATCACAAAGAATATGCCAGAAAGCTTCTGTCTAATTTTTGTGTGTATATATTTCTTTTTAACTATAGGACACAAAGCGCTCAGAATTATCCCCCTGCAGATTGTACAGAAAGACTGTTTCCAAACTGCTCTATCAAAAGAAAGGTTCAACTCTGTGAGTTGAATGCACACATCACAAAGCAGTTTCTCAGAATGCTTCTGTCTAGTTTTTATATGAAGATATTTCCTTTTCCACCATAGGCCTCAAGGTGCTCCAAATATCCACTTGCAGATTATCAAAAAATAGTTGTTTGAAAACTGCTCAATCAAAAGAAAGGTTCAACTCTGTGAGATGGATGCACACATCACAAAGAAGTTTCTCAGAAAGAGTCAGTCTAGTTTTTATTTGAACATATTTCCTTTTCCACCATAAGCCTCAAAGTGCTCCAAATATCCATTTACAGATTATACCAAAAGACAGGTTCCAAACTTCTCAATCTACAGAAAATTTCAACTTTATGAGATGAATTCACACATCACAAAGGAGTTTCTCACAACGCTTCTGTCTAGTTTTTATGTGAAGATATTTTCTGTTTCACAATAGGCCTCAATGAGGTCACAAATATCCCTTTGCAGATTCTACAAAAAACTCTTTCCAAACTGCTCCAGCAAAGGAAAGGTTCAAATCTTTGAGAAGAATGCACACATCACAAAGAAATTTCTCAAAAATCGACTGTCTAGTTTTTATGTGAAGATACTTCCTTTTTTACTATAGAACTCAAACCGCTCACAAATATCCCTCTGCAGAATCTACAAAAAGACTGTTTCCAAACTGCTCTATCAAAAGAAACGTTCAACTCTGTGAGATGAATGCACACATCACAAAGAAGTTTCTCAGAATTCTTCAGTCTAGTTTTTATGTGAAGATATTTCCATTTTCACCATAGGACTGAAAACGCTCCAAATGTCCATTTGCAGATCCTTCAAAAAGACTTTTTCCAAACTGCTCAGCCAAAAGAAAGGTTCAACTGTGCGAAACGAAAGCACACATCACAAGGAAATTTCTCACAATGCTTCAGTCTACTTTTTATTTGAAGATAGTTACATTTTACCCACAGGCCTCAAAGCACTCCAAATATCCATTTGCAGATTCTACAAAAAGACTGTTTCCAAACTGCTCAATCAAAAGAAAGATTCATCTCTGTGAGATGAATGCACAAATCACAAAGTAGTTTCTCAGAAATCTTCAGTCTAGTTTTTATGTTAAGATATATCCTTTTTCACCACAGGCCTCAAAGCACTCCAAATATCCATTTGCAGATTCTACGAAGAGACTATTTCCAAACTTTTCAATCAAAGGAAAAATTCAACTCCATGAGATGAAAGCACACATCACAAAGAAGTTTCTCAGAATGCTTCTGTCTAGTTTTATGTGAAGATATTTCCCATTTCACCATAGGCCACAATGGGGTCACAATTATCCCTTTGCTGATTCCATAAGAAATTGTTTCCAAACTGCTCAATCAAAAGAAAGATTCAACACTGTGAGAAGAAAGCACACATCAGAAAGAAGTTTGTCAGAAAGTTTCTGTCTAGTTTTTATGTGAAGATATTTCCTTTTTCACCATAGGACTCAAGGCGCTCCAAATATCCATTTGCAAATACTTCAAAAAGACTGTTTCCAAACTGCTCAATCAAAAGAAAATTTCAACACAGTGAGATGAATGCACACATCACAAAGAAGTTTCTCTGAAAGCTTCTGTCTAGTTTCTATGTGCAGATATTTCCTTTTTCACCATAGGCCTCAAAGCGCTCCAAATATCCATTTACAGATTCTACAAAAAAGCTGTTTCCAAACTTCTCAATCAAACGAAAGGTTCAACTCTGTGAGATGAAAGCACACATCACAAAGTAGTTTCTCAGATGCTTCTGTCTAGTTTTTATTTTATTTTTATTTTATTATTATTATACTTTAAGTTTTAGGGTACATGTGCACAATGTGCAGGTTAATTACATATGTATACATGTGCCATGCTGGTGTGCTGCACCCATTAACTCATCATTTAGCATTAGGTATATCTCCTAAAGCTATCCCTCCCTCCTCCCCCACCTGACAACAGTCCCCAGAGTGTGATGTTCCCCTTCCTGTGTCCATGTGATCTCATTGTTCGATTCCCATCTATGAGTGAGAATATGCAGTGTTTGGTTTTTTGTTCTTGTGATAGTTTACTGAGAAGGATGATTTCCAATTTCATCCATGTCCCTACAAAGGACATGAACTCATCATTTTTTATGGCTGCACAGTATTCCATGGTGTATATGTGCCACATTTTCTTAATCCAGTCTATCATTGTTGGACATTTGGGTTGGTTCCAAGTCTTTGCTATTGTGAATAGTGCCGCAATAAACATACGTGTGCATGTGTCTTTATAGCAGCATGATTTATAGTCCTTTGGGTATATACCCAGTAATGGGATGGCTGGGTCAAATGGTATTTCTAGTTCTAGATACCTGAGGAATCGCCACACTGACTTCCACAATGGTTGAACTAGTTTACAGTCCCAACAACAGTGTAAAAGTGTTCCTATTTCTCCACATCCTCTCCAGCACCTGTTGTTTCCTGACTTTTTAATGATTGCCATTCTAACTGGTGTGAGATGGTATCTCATTGTGGTTTTGATTTGCATTTCTCTGATGGCCAGTAATGTTGAGCCTTTTTTCATGTGTTTTTTGGCTGCATAAATGTCTTCTTCTGAGAAGTGTCTGTCCATGTCCTTCGCCCACTTTTTGATGGGGTTGTTTTTTTCTTGTAAATTTGTTTGAGTTCATTGTAGATTCTGGATATTAGCCCTTTGTCAGATGAGTAGCTGGCAAAAATTTTCTCCCATTCTGTAGGTTGCCTGTTCACTCTGATGGTAGTTTCTTTTGTTGTGCGGAAGCTCTTTAGTTTAATTAGATCCCATTTGTCAATTTTGGCTTTTGTTGCCATTGCTTTTGGTGTTTTAGACATGAAGTCCTTGCCCATGCCTATGTCCTGAATGGTAATGCCTAGGTTTTCTTCTAAGGTTTTTATGGTTTTAGGTCGAACGTTTAAGTTTTTAATCCATCTTGAATTAATGTTTGTATAAGGTGTAAGGAAGGGATCCAGTTTCAGCTTTCTACATATGGCTAGCCAGTTTTCCCAGAACCATTTATTAAATAGGGAATCCTTTCTGCATTGCTTGTTTTTCACAGGTTTGTCACAGCTCAGAGAGTTGTAGATATGTGGCATTATTTCTGAGGGCTCTGTTCTGTTCCATTGATCTATATCTCTGTTTTGGTACAAGTACCATGCTGTTTTGGTTACTGTAGCCTTGTAGTATAGTTTGAAGTCAGGTAGCGTGATGCCTCCAGCTTTGTTCTTTTGGCTTAGGATTGATTTGGTGATGTGGGCTTCTTTTTGGTTCCATATGAACTTTAAATTAGTTTTTTCCAATTCTGTGAAGAAAGTCATTGGTAGCTTGATGGGGATGGCAATGAATCTATAAATTACCTTGGGCAGTATGGCCAATTTCACGATATTGACTCTTCCTACCCATGAGCATGGAATGTTCTTCCATTTGTTTGTATCCTCTTTTCTTTCATTGAGTAGTGGTTTGTAGTTCTTCTTGAAGAGGTCCTTTACATCCCTTTTTCCGTCTAGTTTTTATGTTACGATATTTCCTATTTCAACATAGGCCTCATTGTGGTCACAAATATTCCTTTGCAGATTCTACAAAATGACCGTTTCCAAACTGCTCAATCAAACAAAGGTTCATCTCTGTGAGATGAAAGCATACATCACAAAGAAGTTTCTCAGAATGCTTCTATCTAGATTTTATATTAAGATATTTCCATTTTCACCCCGTGCCTCAGACAGCTCAAAAATATCCATCTGCAAATTCAACAAAGAGGCTGTTTCCAAACTGCTCAATCAAAAGAAATGTTCAACTCTGTGAGATGAAAGCATGCATCACAAAGAAGTTTCTCAGAAATGTTCTGTTTAGTTTTTATGTGAGGATATTTCCTTTTCACCATATGCCTCAAAGCGCTCCAAATATACATTTGCAGATACTACAAAAAGACTGTTTCCAAACTGCTCTATCAAAATAAAGGTTCATCTCTGTGTGATGAAAGCACACATCACCAAGAAGCTTCTCAGAAAGTTTCTGTCTACTTTTTTTTGAAGATATTTCCTTTTTCACCATAGGCCTCAAGGTGCTCCAAATATCCTTTTGCAGATTCTACAAAAAGACTGTTTCCAAACTTCTCAATCAAATGAAAGGTTCAACTGTGTGAGATGAAAGTTCACAACACAAAGCAGTTTCTCAGAATACCTCTGTCTAGTTTTTATGTGAAGATATTTCCTATTTCATCATAGGCCTCAATGTGGTCAAAAATATCCGTTTGCAGATTCCACAAGAAACTGTTTCTAAACTGCCCAATCCAAATAAACGTTCATCTCTGTGAGATGAATGCACAAATCACAAGGCAGTTTCACATAATGCTTCTAGTATTTTTTATGTGAAGATAGTTCTTTTTTCACTGTAGTCCTCAAACCGCTCACGGATATGCCTCTGCAGATTATGAAAAAAACAATTGTTTCCAAACTGCTCAATCAAAAGACAGGTTCAACTCTGTGAGATGAATGCAGTCATCACAAAAACGTTTCTCAGAAAACTTTTGTTTAGTTTTTATGTGAAGATATTTCCTTTTTTACCATAGACCTCAAAGCGTTCCAAATATCCATTTGCAGATTCTTCATAAAGACTGTTTCCAAACTGCTCAACCAAAGGAAAGCTTCAAATCTGTGAGATGAAAGCTCACATCACAAAGAAGTTTGTCAGAAACCTTTTGCCTAGTTTTTATGTGAAGATATTACTTTTTTACCATAGGCCTCAAACTGCTCAGAAATATCCCTTTGCAGATTGTGCAAAAAGACTGTGTCCAAATTACTCTGTTGAAAGAAACCTTCAACTGTGTGAGATGAATGCACACATCACAAAGAATTTTCTCAAAAACTTGTGTCTAGTTTTTATGTGAAGATATTTGTTTTTCACCATAGGTGTCAAACTGCTCAGAAATATCCCTTTGCAGATTGTACAAAAAGAGTGTCTCCAAAGTGCTCAATCAAAGGAAAGGTTCAACTCTGTGAGGTGAATGCACAAATCACAAAGAAGTTTCTCAAAAAACGTCTGTCTAGTTTTTATGTGAAGATATTTCCTTTTTCACCATAGGACTCAAACCACTCACAAATATCCATTTGCAGATTCTACAAAAAGGCTGTTTTGAAACTTCTCAATCAAAAGAAAGTTTCAACTCTGTGAGGTGAATGCACACATCACAAAGAAGTTTCTCAGAAAGCTTCAGTCTAGTTGTTATGTGAAGATATTTCCTTTTTCACCATAGGCCTCAAAGCACTCCAAATATCCATTTGCAGATAATACAAAAAGACTGTTTCCAAACTTCTCAATCAAATGAAAGGTTCAACTGTGTGAGAAGACAGCAGACATTGCAAAGAAGTTTCTCAGAATGCTTTGGTCTAGTTTGTATGTGTAGATATTTCCTATTCCACCATAGGCCTCAATGGGGTCACAAATATCCCTTTGTAGATTCCACAAGAAACTGTTTCAAAATTGCTCAATCAAAAGAAATGTTGAACTCTGTGATATGAATGCACACATCACAAAGCAGCTTCTCAGAATTCAGTCTAGTTTTTATGCAAAGATATTTCCATTTTCACCATAGGCCTCAAACCGTTCACAAATATCACTCTGCAGGTTATTAAAAAAAGACTGTTTCCAAACTGCTCAACAAAAGGAAGGTTTAACTCTGTGAGATGAATGCACACATCACAAAGAAGTTTCTCAGAAAAGTTCTGTTTAGTTTTTATGTGAAGATATTTCCTTCTTCACAGTAGGACTCAAAGTGCTCCAAATATTCATTTGCAGATTCTTCAAAAAGACAGTTTCCAAACTGCTCAATCAAAAGAAAGTTTCAACTCTGTGAGATGAAAGCACATATCACAAAGACGTTTCTCAGAATCCTTCCATGTAATTTTTATGTGAAGATATTTCGTATTTCACCATAGGCCTGAAGAGGGTCAAAATACCTCTATGCAGATTCTACAAAAAACTGTTTCCAAACTGCTCATTCAAAAGAAAGGTTCATCTCTCTGAGGTGAATGCTCAGACCACAAAGAAGTTTCTTGGAATGCTTCTGTCTAGTTTTTATGTGAAGATATTTCCATTTTCACCATAGACCTCAAACTGCTCACAAATATCCCTCTGCAAATTATAAAAAAAAGACTGTTTACACACTGGTCATCAAAAGAGAAGTTCTAGTCTCTGAGATGAATGCAGACATCACAAAGAAATTTCTCAGAAAGCTTCAGTCTAGTTTTTATGTGAAGATAATTCCTTTTTGACCATAGGCTTCAAAGCTCTCCTAATATCCATTTTCAGATTCTACAAAACACTGTTTCCAAACTTCTCAATCAGCAGAAATGTTCAACTCTTAGAGATGAAAGCATACATCAAAAAGAAGTTTCTTAGAATGCTTCTGTCTAGTTTTTATGTGAAGATATTTCCTATTTCACCATAGGTCTCAATGGGGTCACAAATCTCCATTTGCAGATCCACAAAAAACTGTTTCCAAACTGCTTAATCAAAATAAAGGTTCAACTCAGTGAGATGAATGCACATATCACAAAGAAGTTTCTCAGAAAACAATTCTCTATTTTTTATGTGAAGATATTTCCTTTTTCACCATAGGCCTCATTGTGCTCCAAATATCCATTTGCACATACTACAAAAAGACTGTTTCCAAACAGCTCAATCAAAAGAAAGGTTCAACTCTGTGAGATGAAAGCACACATCACAAAGGAGTTTGTCAGAAATTTTCTGTCTAGTTTTTATGTGAAGATATTTATTTTTCACCATAGGCCTCAAACTGCTCGGAAATATCCCTTAGCAGATTGTACAGGAAGACTATTTCGAAACTGATCAGTCAAAGGAAAGGTTCAACTCTGTGAGATGAAGGCACACATCACAAAGAAATTTCTCAGAATGCTTCTGTTTAGTTTTTATGTGAAGATATTTCTTTTTTCACCAAATGCCTCAAACTGCTCACAAATTTCCCATGCAGAATCTACAGAAAGTCTGTTTCTAATCTGATCAGTCAAAAGAAATGTTCAAATCTCTAAGAAGAATGCACACATCACAAATGAGTTTCCCTGAATGCTTCTGTCTGGTTTTTATGTGAAGATATTTCCTTTTTCACAATAGGCCCCAAACTACTCAAAATATCCCTCTGCAGATTATACAAAAAGACTGTTTCCAAACTGCTCAATCAAAAGAAAGGTTCAACTCAGTAAGATGAATCCACATATCACAAAGAAGTTTCTCCAAAGCTTCTGTCTTGTTTTTATGAGAAGATATTTCATTTTTCACCAAAGGCCTCAAAGCACTCTCAAAAATCCCTTTGCAGATTCTACAAAAAGACTGTTTCCAAACTTCTCAATCAAAAGAAAGGTTCAACTCTGTGAGATGAATTCACTCATCACAAAGAAGTTTCTCAGAGGTGTCTGTCTGCCCCTACCAGGGGGTGCATCCAAGTTAGGCTGCTCAGGGGTCAGGGACCCACTTGAGGAGGCAGTCTGCCCATTCTCAGATCTCCAGCTGCATGCTGGGAGAACCACTGCTTTCCTCAAAGCTGTCAGACAGGGACATTTAAGTCTGAAGAGGTTACTGATGTATTTTTGTTTGTCTGTGCCCTGCCCCCAGAGGTGGAGCCTACAGAGGCAGGCAGGCCTCCTTGAGCTGTGGTGGGCTCCACCCAGTTCAAGTTTCTGGGCTGCTTTGTTTACCTAAGTGAGCCTGGAGAATGGCAGGCGCCCCTCCCCCAGCCTCACTGCCACCTTGCAGTTTGATCTCAGACTGCTGTGCTAGCAATCAGTGAGACTCCGTGGGCATAGGACCCTCCAAGCCAAGTGTGGGATATAATCTCCTGGTGCGCCGTTTCCTAAGCCCTTTGGAAAAGTGCAGCATTTGGGTGGGAGTGGCCCGATTTTACAGGTGCTGTCTGTCACCCCTTTCCTTGACCAGGAAAGGGAATCCCTGACCCCTTGCACTTCCTGAGTGAGGCAATACCTCGCCCTGCATTGGCTGGTGCACGGTGCACTGAAATCACCTGTCTTCTGCATCGCTCACGCTGGGAGCTGTAGACTGGAGCTGTTCCTCTTCGGCCATCTTGGCTGAGGGTCCTGTCTGTTAGAAGGAAAACTAACAAACTGAAAGGACATCCACACCAAAAAACCATCTGTACATCACCATCTTCAAATACCAAAAGTAGATAAAATCACAAAGATGGGGAAAAAACAGAGCAGAAAAATTGGAAACTCTGAAAAGCAGAGTGCCTCTCCTCCTCCAGAGGAATGCAGTTCCTCACCAGCAATGGAAAAAAGCTGGATGGAGAATGACTTTGATGAGCTGAGAGAAGAAGGCTTCAGATGATCAAACTACTCCAAGCTACAGGAGGAAATTCAAACCAAAGGCAAAGAAGTTGAAAACTTTGAAAAAAATTTAGACGAATGTATAAGTAGAATAACCAATACAGAGAAGTGCTTAAAGGAGCTGATGGAGCTGAAAGCAAAGGCCCGAGAAATACATGAAGAAGGCAGAAGCCTCAGGAGCTGATGCAATCAACTGGAAGAAAGGGTATCAGTGATGGAAGATCAAATGAATGAAATGAAGTGAGAAGGGAAGTTTAGAAAAAAAAGAATTAAAATAAATGAACAAAGCCTCCAAGAAATATGGGACTATGTGAAAAGACCAAATTTACGTCAGATTGGGGTACCTGAAAGTGACAGAGAGAATACAACCAAGTTAGAAGTGACTAAGCAGGATATTATCCAGGAGCAATTCCCCAATCTAGCAAGGCAGGCCAACATTAAAATTCAGGAAATACAGAGAATGCCACAAAGATACTCCTCGAGAAGAGCAACTCCAAGACACATAATTGTCAGATTCACCAAAGTTGAAATGAAGGAAAAAATGTTAAGAGCAGCCAGAGAGAAAAGTCTGGTTAGCCACAAAAGGAAGCCCATCAGACTAACAGCTGATCTCTCAGAAGAAAATCTACAAGCCAGAAGAGAGTGGGGGCCAATATTCAACATTCTTAAAGAAAAGAATTTTCAACCCAGAATTTCATATCCAGCCAAACTAAGCTTCATAAGTGAAGGAGAAATCAAATCCTTTACAGACAAGCAAAGGCTGAGAGATTTTGTCACCACCAGGCCTTCCCTAAAAGAGCTCCTGAAGGAAGCACTAAACAGGGAAAGGCACAACCAGTACCAGCCACTGCAAAATCATGCCAAAAGGTAAAGACCATCAAGATTTGGAAGAAACTGCATCAACTAACGAGGAAAATAACCAGCTGACATCATAATGACAGGATCAAATTCACACATAACAATAGTAACCTTAAATGTAAATGGACTAAATGTTCCAAGTAAAAGACACAGACTGGCAAATTCGATAAAGAGTCAAGACCCATCATTGTGCTGTATTCAGGAAACCCATCTCACATGCAGAGACACAGGTAAGCTCAAAATAAAAGGATGGAGGAAGATCTACCAAGCAAATGGAAAACAAAAAAAGGCAGGGGTTGCAATCCTAGTCTCTGATAAGACAGACTTTAAACCAACAAAGATCAAAAGAGACAAAGAAGGCCATTACATAATGGTAAAGGCATCCGTTCAACAAGAAGAGCTAACTATCCTAAATATATATGCACCCAGTACAGGAGCAACAAGATTCATAAAGCAAGTCCTTAGTTACCTACAAAGAGACTTAGACTCCCACACAATAATAATAGGAGACTTTAACACCCCACTGTCAACATTAGACAGATCCACGAGACAGAAAGTTAACAAGGATACCCGGGAATTGAACTCAGTTCTTCACCAAGCAGACCTAATAGACATCTACAGAACTCTCCACCCCAAATCAACAGAATATACATTCTTTTCAGCACCACACCACACCTATTCCAAAACTGACCACATAGTTGGAAGTAAAGCTCTCCTCAACAAATGTAAAAGAACAGAAATTATAACAAACTGTCTCTGAGACCACAGTGCAATCTAACTAGAACTCAGGATTAAGAAATTCACTCAAAACCGCTCAACTTCATGGAAACTGAACAACCTGCTCCTGAATGACTAATGGGTACATAACAAAATGAAGGCAGAAATAAAGATGTTCTTTGAAACCAAGGAGAACAAAGACACAACATACCAGAATCTCTGGGACACATTCAACGTGTGGGGAAAAGCAAGAGAGATCAGATTGTTACTGTGTCTGTGTAGAAAGAAGTAGACATAGGAGACTCCATTTTGTTCTGTACTAAGAAAAATTCTTCTGCCTTGATATTCTGTTAATCTATAACCTTACCCCCAACCCCGTGCTCTCTGAAACATGTGCTGTGTCAAACTCAGGGTTAAATGGATTAAGGGCGGTGCAAGATGTGCTTTGTTAAACAGATGCTTGAAGGCAGCATGCTCCTTAAGAGTCATTACCACTCCCTAATCTCAAGTACCCAGGGACACAAAAACTGCCGAAGGCTGCAGGGACCTCTGCCTAGGAAAGCCAGTATTGTCCAAGGTTTCTCCCGATGTGATAGTCTGAAATATGGCCTCGTGGGAAGGGAAAGACCTGACCGTCCCCCAGCCCAACACCCGTAAAGGGTCTGTGCTGAGGAGGATTAGTATAAGAGGAAGGCATGCTTCTTGCAGTTGAGACAAGAGGAAGGCATCTGTCTCCTGCCCGTCCCTGGACAATGGAATGTCTCGGTGTAAAACCCGATTGTACGTTCTATCTACTGAGATAGGGAAAAACTGCCTTAGGGCTGGAGGTGGGACATGCGGGCAGCAATACTGCTTTGTAAAGCATTGAGATGTTTATGTGTATGCATATCTAAAAGCACAACACTTAATCATTTACCTTGTCTATGATGCAAAGACCTTCGTTCACGTGTTTGTCTGCTGAACCTCTCCACACAATTGTCTTGTGACCCTGACACATCCCCCTCTCGGGGAAACACCCACGAATGATCAATAAATACTAAGGGAACTCAGAGTCTTGCGGGATCCTCCATATGCTGAACGCTGGTTCCCCGGGTCCCCTTATTTCTTTCTCTATACTTTGTCTCTGTGTCTTTTTCTTTCCCAAGTCTCTCGTTCCACCTTATGAGAAACACCCACAGGTGTGGAGGGGCAACCCACCCCTTCACAAAGCAGTGTCTAGAGGGAAATTTATAACACTAAATGCCCACAAGAGAAAGCAGGAAAGATCCACAATTGACACCCTAACATCACAATTAAAAGAACTAGAAAAGCAAGAGCAAACACATTCAAAAGCTAGCAGAAGGCAAGAAATAACTAAGATCAGAGCAGAACTGAAGAAAATAGAGACACAAAAAACCCTTCAAAAAAGTAATGAATCCAGGAGCTCGTTTTTTGAAACAAACAACAAAATTGATAGACCGCTAGCAAGACTAATAAAGAAAAAAAGAGAGAAGAATCAAATAAATGCAATAAAAAATGATAAAGGGGATATCACCACCGATCCCACAGAAATACAAACTACCACCAGAGAATACTACAAACACCTCTACGCAAATAAACTAGGAAATCTAGAAGAAATGGATAAATTCCTTGACACATAAACTCTCCCAAGACTAATCCAGGAAGAAGTTGAATCTCTGAATAGACTAATAACAGGATCTGAAATTCTGGCAATAATCAATAGATTACCAACCAAAAAGACTCCAGGACCAGATGGATTCACAGCCAAATTCTACCAGAGGTAAAAGAAGGAACTGGTACCATTCCTTCTGAAACTATCCAATCAATAGAAAAAGAAGGAATCCTCCCTAACTCATTTTATGAGGCCAGCATCATCCTGATACCAAAGCTGGGCACAACCAAAAAAATAGAATTTTAGACCAATATCCTAGATGAACATTGATTCAAAAATCCTCAATAAAATACTGGCAAACTGAATCCAGCAGCACATCAAAAAGCTTATCCACCATGATCAAGTGGGCTTCATCCCTGGGATGCAAGGCTGGTTCAATATATGCAAATCAATAAATGTAATCCAGCATATAAACAAAACCAAAGACAACAACCACATGATTATCTCAATAGGTGCAGAAAGGCCCTTTGACAAAATTCAACAGCCCTTCATGCTAAAAACTCTCAATAAATTAGGTATTGATGGGATGTATTTCAAAATAATAAGAGCTATCTATGACAAACCCACAGCCAATATCATACTGAATGGGCAAAAACTGGAAGCATTCCTTTTGAAAACTGGCACAAGACAGGGATGTTCTCTCTCACCACTCTTATTCAACATAGTGTTGGAAGTTCTGGCCAGGGCAATCAGGCAGGAGAAGGAAATAAAGGGTATTCAACTAGGAAAAGAGGAAGTCAAATTGTCCCTGTTTGCAGATGACATGACTGTGTATCTAGAAAACCCCACTGTCTCAGTGTAAAATCCCTTCAACTGATAAGCAACTTCAGCAAAGTCTCAGGATACAAAATCAATGTACAAAAATCACAAGCATTCTTATACACCAACAACAAACAGAGAGCCAAATCATGAGTGAACTCCCATTCACAATTGCTTCAAAGAGAATAAAATACTTAGGAATCCAACTTACAAGGGACGTGAAGGACCTCTTCAAGAAGAAATACAAACCTCTGCTCAAAGAAATAAAAGTGTATACAAACAAATGGAAGAACATTCCATGCTCATGGGTAGGAAGAATCAATATCATGAAAATGGCCATACTGCCCAAGGTAATTTATAGATTCAATGCCATCCCCATCAAGCTACCAATGCCTTATTTCACAGAATTGGAAAAAACTACTGTAAAGTTCATATGGAACCAAAAAAGAGCCCACATCGCCAAGTCAATCCTAAGCCAAAAGAACAAAGCTGGAGGCATCACAGTACCTGACTTCAAACTATACTACAAGGCTACAGTAACCAAAACAGCATGGTACTGGTACCAAAACAGAGATATAGATCAATGGAACAGAACAGAGCCCTCAGAAATAACGCCGCATATCAACAACTATCTGAGCTTTGACAAACCTGACAAAAACCAGAAATAGGGAAAAGATTCCCTATTTAATAAGTGGTGCTGGGAAAACTGGCTAGCCATATGTAGAAAGCTGAAACTGGATCCTTTCCTTACACCTTATACAAAAATTAATTCAAGATGGATTAAAAACTTAAACGTTCGACCTAAAACCATAAAAACTATAGAAGAAAACCTAGTCATTACCATTCAGGACATAGGCAGGAGCAAGGACTTTACGTCTAAAACACCGAAAGCAATGGCAATAAAAGCCAAAATTGACAAATGGGATCTAATTAAACTAAAGAGCCTCTGCACAACAAAAGAAACTACCATCAGAGTGAACAGGCAACCTACAAAATGGGAGAAAATATTTGCAACCTACTCATCTGACAAAGGGCTAATATCCAGAATCTACAATGAACTCAAACAAATTTACAAGAAAAAAACCAAACAACCCCATCAAAAAGTGGGCAAAATATATGAACAGACACCTCTCAAAAGAAGACATTTATGCAGCCAAAAGACACATGAAAAAATGCTCATCATCACTGGCCATCAGAGAAATGCAAATCAGAACCACAATGAGATAGCGTCTCACACCAGTTAGAATGGTGATCATTAAAAAGTCAGGAAACAGCAGGTGCTGGAGAGGATGTGGAGAAATAGGAACACTTTTACACTGTTTTTGGGACTGTAAACTAGTTCAACCATTGTGGAAGTCATTGTGGCGATTCCTCAGGGATCTAGAGCTAGAAATACCATTTGACCCAGCCATCCCATTACTGGGTATATACCCAAAGGACTATAAATCATGCTGCTATAAAGACACATGCAAACATATGTTTATTGCGGCACTATTCACAATAGCAAAGACTTGGAACCAACCCAAATGTCTAACAATGATAGACTGGATTAAGAAAATGTGGCACATATACACCATGGAATACTATGCAGCCATAAAAAATGATGAGTTCATGTCCTTTGTAGGGACATGGATGAAATTGGAAATCATCATTCTCAGTAAACTATTTCAAGAACAAAAAACCAAACACCGCATGTTCTCACTCATAGATGGGAATTGAATAATCAG
Organism: Homo sapiens; assembly: GCF_000001405.40. NCBI lineage: Eukaryota > Metazoa > Chordata > Mammalia > Primates > Hominidae > Homo > Homo sapiens. The sequence goes on along the minus strand of NC_000016.10, from coordinate 35,952,600 downwards.
AACACATGGACACAGAAAGGGAAAGATCCCACTCTGGGGACCGGTGTGGGGTGGGGGCAGGGGGGAGGGATAGCATTAAGAGATATACCTAATGCTAAATGACGAGTTAATGGGTGCAGCACACCAGCATGGCACATGTATACATATGTAACTAACCTGCACATTGTGCACATGTGCCCTAAAACTTAAAGTGTAAAAATAATAAAACAAAATAAAAAATAAATAAATAAATAAAACCGCTTTGGATTTGTTTATTAATCTCACAGAGTTAAAACTTTATTTTGATTCTTCAAGTTGAAAACACTATTTTTGTGGGATCTATGAAGAAACATTTCAGAGCTCATTGAGGCCAGTGGTGAAAAACCGTGTATGCTCCATTAAAAACTACAAAATCCTGTGTGAAACCAGTTTGTGATGTGTGGTTTCATCTTACAGAGTTAAACCTTTTTTTTTTTTATTCAGAAGTTTGGAAATACTTTTTTTGTGAAACTTATGAAGGGACATTTTGGAGCCTATTTAGGCTAAGGCAGAAAAATCAAATATCCCACGATAAATACTAGAAGGAAGTTATCTGTGAAACCACTTTGTGATGTGTGGATGCACTTCAAATAGTTAAACCATTCTTTTGATTGAGTAGCTTGGAAACACTCCTTTTTTGGATTCCACAAAGGGAAACTTCAGAGCTTATTGAGGCTTATGGTGAAGAATTGAAAATCCTGAAATAAAAAGTAGGAGGAAGTTATCTGTGAATCCCCTTTGTGATATGTGGATTTGTGTCACAGAATTATATCTTACTTTTGATTCAGCAGGTTGTAAACACTCTTTTTGTGGAATCTACAAAAAATCATTTTGAAGCCCTTTGAAGCCAGTGGTGAAAAACTGAATATTCCATGATAAAAACTAGAAAGAAGGTATCTGTCATATGGCTTTGCAATGCATGGATTCATCTCACAAAGTTAAGCCTTTCTTTTTCTTCAGCAGGTTTGAAAACCTTGTTTAGTGGAATCTAGGCAGGGACATTTCAAAGCCCATTGAGGCTAACGGTGATAAACACAATATTCCCCCCCCCCACACACACACACACAAATAGAAGCCCTCTGTGAAACCAGTTTGTGATGTGTGGATTTATCTCACAGGGTTAAAACTTTATTTTGATTCAGCAGGTTGGAAGCACTTTTTTGTGGAATCTACAAAGTGTCTTTTCAGATCCCTTTGAGGCCAATGGTGGAAACTGAATATCCCACAATAAAAACTAGAAAGAACCTATGGGATAACCTGCTTAGCAATGTTTGGATTCATCTCACAGAGTAGAACTTTCTTTTGATTCAGTAGTTGGAAACACTCTTTCTGTGTCATCTATGAAGGGACAATTTGGAGCCATTTAATGCCAATGGTGAAAATCCGGTGATAAAAAAATAGAAATAAGCTATCTATGGAACTGCTTTGTGATGTGTGGATCCACCTCACAGAGTTATACCTTGCTTTGGAATCAGCAGTTTGGAATCTCCTTTTGTGGAATCTAGGTAGGGACATTTCAGAGCCCATTGATGCCAGCGGTGAAAAACACAATATCCCTGATGAAACTAAAAAGAAGCCATCTATGCCACCACTTTACAATGTGTGCACATATCTCACAGAGTTAAACCTTTCTATTGATTCAGCAGTTGAAAACCCTGTGTTTGTGGAATCTATGAAGGGACATTTCAGAGCCCATTGAGGCCAATGTTGGAAACACAAATATCCCGTGATAATATCAACATAGAAGTTATCTGGGAAACAGCATTGTGATGTGTAAACTCATCTCACTAAGTTAAACCTTGCTTTTGATTCATCAGGTTGGAAACACTCTTTTTGTGGAATCTGGGAAAGTACCTTTCGAAGCCCATTGGGACCATTAATGAAAAACAGAATATCCTATGATAAAAACTACAAAGAATCTATGTGAGAAACTGCTTTGTGATGTGAGAATTCATCTCACAGATTTATACCTTTTGGTTGATTCAGCAGATTGGAGACACTCTTTTTGTTGAATATACAAAAGGACAATTCAGAGTCCATTGAGGATAATAGTGAAAAACGAAATATCTCATGAAAACACACACACACACACACACAAACACACACACACACACACACACAGAAATAAACTGTCTGTGAAACCTCTTCATGATGTTTGGATTCGCCTCAGAGAGTTAAACTTTTCTTTTGATTCAGGAGGTTGGAAAGACTTCTCTTTTGGAATCTATGGAGGCACATTTAGGAGACCATTGATGCCAATGCAAAAAAACAATATCCCACGTTAAAAAGTAGAATGAAGCTGTCTGTGAAACCGCTTTGTGATGCGTGAATTCATTTCACAGAGTTAAACCTTTCCTTTGATTAAGCAGATTGGAAGCACTCTTTTTGTTGAATCTGTGAAGGGACATTTCAGAGCCAACTGAAGCCAATGATGAAAAATTAAATGTCCTGCGACAAAAACTAGAAGATATCTGTGAAAGCATTTTGTGATGTGTGGATTCATCTCACAGAGATAAACCTTTTTCTTTTCTTGATTCGTCAGGTTGAAAACACTCTATCTGTGGAATCTACAAAAAGATATTTCAAAGACCATTGAGGCCAATCGTGAAAAATTGAATAGCCCGCAATAAAAACTAAAAAGAAGCTATCGGTGAAGCTGCTTTGCAATGTGTGGATTGATCTCATAGATTTAAACCTTTTTTTTTTTTATTCACCAGGTTGGAATCATTCTTTCTTTTTACTTTTTTTATTATATTTTAATTTTAGGGTACATGTTCACAAAGTGCAGTTTTGTTACATATGTATACATGTGCCATGTTGGTGTGCTGCATCAATTAACTTGTCATTTAACATTAGGTATATCTGCAAATGCTATCCTTCCCCCCTCCCCCCACCCCACAGCAGCCCCCAGTGTGTGATGTTCCCTTTCCTGTGTCCATGTTTTCTCATTGTTCAATTCACACCTATGAGTGAGAACATGTGGTGTTTGGTTTTTTGTCCTTGTGATAGTTTGCTGAGAATGATGGTTTCCAGCTTCATCCATGTCCCTACAAAGGACATGAACTCATCATTTTTTATGGCTGCATAGTATTCCATGGTGTATATGTGCCACATTTTCTCAATCCAGTCTATCATTGTTGGACATTTGGGTTTGTTCCAACTCTTCGCTATTGTGAATATGTTGCAATAAACATATGTTTGCATGTGTCTTTATAGCAGCATGATTTATAATGCTTTGAGTATATACTCAGTAATGGGATGGCTGGGTCAAATGGTATTTCTAGTTCTAGATCCCGGAGGAATCACTACACTGGCTTCCACAATGGTTGAACTAGTTTAAAGTCCCACCAACAGCGTAAAAGTGTTCCTATTTCTCCACATCCTCTCCAGCACCTGCTGTTTCCTGACTTTTTAATGACCGCCATTTTAACTGGTGTGAGATGGTATCTCATTGTGGTTTTGATGTGCATTTCTCTGATGGCCAGTGATGATGAGCATTTTTTCATGTGTCTTTTGGCTCATAAATGTCTTCTTTTGAGAGGTGTCTGTTCATATATTTTGCCCACTTTTTGATGGGGTTGTTAATTTTTTCTTGTAAATTTGTTTGAGTTCATTGTAGATTCTGGATATTAGCCCTTTGTCAGATGAGTAGATTGCAAAAATTTTCTCCCATTCTGTAGGTTGCCTGTTCACTCTGATGGTAGTTTCTTTTGCTGTGCAGAGGCTCTTTAGTTTAACGAGATCCCATTTGTCAATTTTGGCTTTTGTTGTGATTGCTTTTGGTGTTTTAGACATGAAGTCCTTGCCCATGCCTATGTCCTGAATGGTAATGCCTAGGTTTTCTTCTAAGGTTTTTATGGCTTTAGGTCTAATGTTAAAGTCTTTAATCCATCTTGAATTAATTTTTGTATAAGGTGTAAGGAAGGGATCCAGTTTCATCTTTCTCCATATGGCTAGCCAGTTTTCCCAGCACCATTTATTAAATAGGGAATCATTTCCCCATTTCTTGTTTTTGGCAGATTTGTCGAAGATCAGATTGTTGTAGATATGCAGTGTTATTTGTGAGGGCTCTGTTCTGTTCCTTTGATCTATATCTCCGTTTTGGTACCAGTACCATGCTGTTTTGGTTATTGTAGCCTTGTAGTATAGTTCGAAGTCAGCTAGCGTGATGCCTCCAGCTTTGTTCTTTTGGCTTAGGATTAACTTCATGATGAGCGCTCTTTTCTGGTTCCATGTGAACTTTAAAGTAGTTTTTTCCAATTCAGTGAAGAAAATCATAAGTAGTTTGATGGGGATGGCATTGAATCTATAAATTACCTTGGGTAGTATGGCCATTTTCATGATATTGACTCTTCCTACCCATGAGCATGGAATGTTCTTCCATTTGTTTGTATCCTCTTTTATTTCATTGAACAGTGGTTTGTATTTCTCCTTGAAGAGGTCCTTCACATCACTTGTAAGTTGGATTCCTAGCTATTTTATTCTCTTTGAAGCAATTGTGAATGGGAGTTCACTCACGATTTGGCTCTCTGTTTGTCTGTTATTTGTGTATGAGGATGCTTGTGATTTTTGCACATTGATTTTGTATCCTGAGACTTTGCTGAGGTTACCTATCAGTTTAAGGAGATTTTAGGCTGAGATGATGGGGTTTTCTAAATATACAATCATATCATCTGCAAACAGGGACAATTTGACTTCCTCTTTTCCTAATTGAATACCTTTTATTTCCTTTTCCTGCCTGATTGCCCTGGCCAGAACTTCCAACATTATGTTGAATAGGAGTAGTGAGAGAGGGCATCCCTGTCTTGTGCCAGTTTTCAAAAGGAATGCTTCCAGGTTTTGCTCATTCACTATGATATTGGCTGTGGGTTTGTCATAGATAGCTCTTATTATTTTGAAATACATCCCATCAATACCTAATTTATTGAGAGTTTTTAGCATGGAGGGTTGTTGAATTTTGTCAAAGGTCTTTTCTGCATTTATTGAGATATTCATAGGTTTTTTGTCATTGGTTCTGTTTATATGCTGGATTACGTTTATTGATTTGCATATATTGAACCAGCCTTGCATCCCAGGGATGAAGCCCACTTGATCATGGTGGATAAGCTTTTTGATGTGCTGCTGGATTCGCTTTGCCAGTATTTTATTGAGCATTTCTGTATTGAGGTTCATCAGGGACTTTGGTCTAAAATTCTCTTTTTTGTTGTGTCTCTGCCACGCTTTGGTATCAGGATGATGCTGGCCTCATAAAATGAGTTAGGGAGGATTCCCTCTTTTTCTATTTATTGAAATAGTTTCAGAAGGAATGGTATCAGCTCACTCTTTTATCTCTGGTAGAATTCGACTGTGAACCCATCTGGTCCTTGACTCTTTTTGGTTGGTAAGCTATTAATTATTGCCTCAGTTTCAGAGCCTGTTATTTGTCTATTTCAGAGATTCAGTTTCTTCCTGGTTTAATCTTGGGAGGCTGTATGTGTTGAGGAATTTATCCATTTCTTCTAGATTTTCTAGTTTGTTTGCATAGAGGTGTTTATAGTATTCCTTGATGGTAGTTTGTATTTCTGTGGGATCAGTGGTGATATCCCCTTTATCATTTTTTATTGCATCTGTTTGAAACTTGCTTCTTTTCTTGTTAGTCTTGCTAGTGGTCCATCAATTTTGTTGATCTTTTCAAAAAAACCAGCTCCTGGATTCATTGATTTTTCAAAGGGTTTTTTGTGTCTCTATTTCCTTCAGTTCTGCTCTGATCTTAGTTATTTCTTGCCTTCTGCTAGCTTTTGAATGTGTTTGCTCTTCCTTCTCTAGTTCTTTTAATTGTGATGTTAGTGTGTCAATTTTAGATTTTTCCTGCTTTCTCTTGTGGGCATGCAGTCCTATAAATTTCCCTCTACACACTGCTTTGAATGTGTCCCAGAGATTCTGGTATGTTGCGTCTTTGTTCTCATTGGTTTCAAAGAACATCTTTATTTCTCCCTTCACTTCTTTATGTACCCAGTAGTCATTCAGGAGCAGGTTGTTCAATTTCCATGTAGTTGAGCGGTTTTGAGTGAATTTCTTAATCCTGAGTTCTAGTTTGATTGCACTGTGGTCTGAGAGACTGTTTGTTATAATTTCTGTTCTTTTACATTTGTTGAGGAGAGCTTTACTTCCAACTATGTGGTCAATTTTGGAATAGGTGTGGTGTGGTCCTGAAAAGAATGTATATTCTGTTGATTTGGGGTGGAGAGTTCTGCAGATGTCTATTAGGTCTGCTTGGTGCAGAACTGAGTTCAGTTCCTGTATATCCTTGTTAACTTTCTGTCTCGTGGATCTGTCTAATGTTGACAGTGTGGTGTTAAAGTCTCCCATCATTATTGTGTGGGCATCTAAGTCTCTTTGTAGGTCTCTAAGGACTTGCTTTATGAATCTTGTTGCTCCTGTACTGGGTGCATATATATTTAGGATAGTTAGCTCTTCTTGTTGAACGGATGCCTTTACCATTATGTAATGGCCTTCTTTGTCTCTTTTGATCTTTGTTGGTTTAAAGTCTGTCTTATCAGAGACTAGGATTGCAACCCCTGCCTTTTTTTGTTTTCCATTTGCTTGGTAGATCTTCCTCCATCCTTTTATTTTGAGCTTACCTGTGTCTCTGCATGTGAGATGGGTTTCCTGAATACAGCACAATGATGGGTCTTGACTCTTTATCGAATTTGCCAGTCTGTGTCTTTTACTTGGAACATTTAGTCCATTTACATTTAAGGTTACTATTGTTATGTGTGAATTTGATCCTGTCATTATGATGTCAGCTGGTTATTTTCCTCGTTAGTTGATGCAGTTTCTTCCAAATCTTGATGGTCTTTACCTTTTGGCATGATTTTGCAGTGGCTGGTACTGGTTGTGCCTTTCCCTGTTTAGTGCTTCCTTCAGGAGCTCTTTTAGGGAAGGCCTGGTGGTGACAAAATCTCTCAGCCTTTGCTTGTCTGTAAAGGATTTGATTTCTCCTTCACTTATGAAGCTTAGTTTGGCTGGATATGAAATTCTGGGTTGAAAATTCTTTTCTTTAAGAATGTTGAATATTGGCCCCCACTCTCTTCTGGCTTGTAGATTTTCTTCTGAGAGATCAGCTGTTAGTCTGATGGGCTTCCTTTTGTGGCTAACCAGACTTTTCTCTCTGGCTGCTCTTAACATTTTTTCCTTCATTTCAACTTTGGTGAATCTGACAATTATGTGTCTTGGAGTTGCTCTTCTCGAGGAGTATCTTTGTGGCATTCTCTGTATTTCCTGAATTTTAATGTTGGCCTGCCTTGCTAGATTGGGGAATTGCTCCTGGATAATATCCTGCTTAGTCACTTCCAACTTGGTTGTATTCTCTCTGTCACTTTCAGGTACCCCAATCTGACGTAAATTTGGTCTTTTCACATAGTCCCATATTTCTTGGAGGCTTTGTTAATTTCTTATTATTCTTTTTTCTCTAAACTTATCTTCTCACTCCATTTGATTCATTTGATCTTCCATCACAGATACTCTTTCTTCCAGTTGATTGAATTGGCTACTGAGGCTTGTGCATTCATCACGAAATCTTGTGCAGTGGTTTTCAGCTCCATCAGGTCCTTTAAGGACTTCTCTGCATTGGTTATTCTAGTTAGCCATTCGTCTAAATTTTTTTCAAGATTTTTAACTTCTTTGCCACGGATTAGAACTTCCCTCTTTAGCTCGGAGTAGTTTGATTGTCTGAAGCCTTCTTCTCTCAACTCATCAAAGTCATTCTGCATCCAGCTTTATTCCATTGTTGGTGAGGAGCTGCATTCTTTTGGAGGAGGAGTAGTGCTCTGATTTTTCGAGCTTCCAGTTTTTCTGTTCTGTTTTTTCCCCAGCTTTGTGGTTTTATCTACTTTTGGTCTTTGATGATGGTGATGTACAGATGGGGTTTTGGTGTGGATGTCCTTTCTGTTCATTAGTTTTCCTTCTAATAGTCAGGACGCTCAGCTGCAGGTCTGTTGGAGTTTCCTGGAGGTCAACTGCAGACCCTCTTTGCCTGGGTAGCAGCGGAGGCTGCAGAACAGTGGATATTTTTGAACAGCAAATGTTGCTGCCTGATCATTCCTCTGGAAGTTTTGTCTCAGAGAAGTACCTAGCTGTGTGAGTTTTCAGTCTGCCCCTACTTGGGGGTGCCTCCCAGTTAGGCTACTCAGGGGTCAGGGACCCACTTGAGGAGGCAGTCTGTCCATTCTCAGATATTCAGCTGCATGTTGGGAGAACCGCTACTCTCTTCAAAGCTGTCAGACAGGGATATTTAAGTCTGCAGAGGATGCTGCTGCCTTTTGTTTGTCTGTGCCCTGACCCCAGAGGTGGAGTCTACAGAGGCAGGCAGGTCTCCTTAAGCTGCAGTGGGCTCCACCCAGTTCAACCTTCCTGGCCACTTGGTTTACCTACTCAAGCCTCGGCAATGGTGGGCACCCCTGCCCCATCCTCACTGCCGCCTTGCAGATTGATCTCAGACTGCTGTGCTAGGAATGAGCAACGCTCCATGGGCATAGGACCCTCTAAGCCAGGCACGGGATATTATCTCCTGTTGTGCTATTTGCAAAGACTGTTGGAAAAATGCAGTATTAGTGTGGGAGTGACCCGATTTTCCAGGGGCCGTCTGTCACCCCTTTCTTCTACTAGAAAAGGGAATTCCCTGACCCATTGCACTTCCCAGGTAAGGCGATGCCTCACCCTGCTTCAGCTCATGCTCAGTGTACTGCACCCACTGTCCCGCATCCACTATCCAACACTCCCCAGTGAGATGAACCTGGTACCTCAGTTGGAAATGCAGAAATCACACATCTTCTGTGTCGCTCATGCTGGGAGCTGTAGACTGGAGCTCTTCCTATTCGGCCATCTTGGCTCTATCCCCAGAATCAATCTTTTTGTAGAATCTAGGAAGGAACATTTCAGAGCTTATTGATGCCAATGGTGAAAAGCACAAATCCCATGAGAAAAACTAGAAAGAAGCCATCTGTGAAACTGCTGTGAGATCTGTGGAAGGGACATTTCAGAGCTTATTGAGGACAATGGTGAAAATTGAATACCCCACAATAAAAACTAGAAAGAATATAACTGTGAAACCATTTTATGATATGTGCATTCATCTCACAGAGATAAAACTTTCTTTTGATTCAGCAGGTTGGAAACATTATTCTTGTGGAATCTACAAAGGGACATTTTGGAGCCTATTGAGGCAAAGGGTGAAAAACTGAATAGTTTGTGATAAAAAGAATTCAGCTATCTGAGAAACTGCTTTGCAATGTTTGGATTCATCTCACATAGTAAAAATTTTCTTTTGATTCAGCTGGTTGGAAACACTCTTCTTGTGGAAGTTACAAAGGGACATTTCGGAGCTCATTAATGCAAGTGTTGAAACACTGAATACCTCATGATAAAAACAACAAAGAAGCTATCTGTGAACCACTTTGCAATGTGTGGATTCATCTCACAGAGGTAATCCTGTTCTTTGATTCAGTAGTTAAAAAACCTTTTCTGGTGAAATCTACACGGGGTCATTTCAATGCTATTGAGGCCAATGTTGATAAACTGAATATCCCACGATAAAAACTAGATAAAAGCTACCTGTGAAACTGCTTTACAACGCATGAATCCATCTTACAGAATTAATCCTTTTGTTGATTCAGAAGGTTGGAAATATTTTTTGTGGAACCTACGAAGGGACATTTAAGAGCCCATTGAGGCCAATGGAGAAAAACAGAATATCCTGCAATAAAAACTAGAAAGAAACTATCTGTGAAACTGCTTTGCAATGTGTGGATTCATCTCAGAGACCTGAACATTTATTTTGATTCAGCGAGTTTGAAACACCCATTTTGTGAAATCTATGAAGAGACTTTTCAAAGCCCATTGAGATCAATGGTTAAAAATTGAATATCCCATGAAAAAACTAGAAAGAAACAATTGTTGAAGTCGTTTAGCAATGAGTCCATTCATCTCACAGAGTTAAACCTTTGTTTTCCTTCAGCAAGTTGGAAGCACTCTATTTTTGTAATCTATGAAGGGAAATTTCCAAGCTCATTGAGGCCAATGGTGTAAAATTGAATATCCTAAGGTAAAAACTATAAAGAAGATATATGTGAAACTGCTTTGCAATGTGTGGATTCATCTCAAAGAGGTTAAAAAAATTTTATTCAGTAAGTTGGAAACACTCTTTTTGTGTAATCTATGAATGAACCTTCAGGAGCCCATTGAGGCAAATAGTGAAAAACCAAATATCTCATAATAAAAGCTAGAGAGAAGCTATCTGTGAAATCGAATTTATATGTGTGGATTCATCTCAAAGAGATAAAACTTTCTTTTGATTCAGCAGGTTGGAAACACATATCTGTGGAATCTACAAAGGGACATTTTGGAGCCTACTGTGGCCAATGGTGAAAAGCTGAGTATCCCACCATAAAAATTAGAGAGGAGTGCTCTGTGAAACCGTTTTGTATTATTTGGATTCACCTTACAGAGTTATAACTTTCTTTCAATTCAGCATGTTGGAAACACTCGTTTTGTGAAATCTAGGTGGGAACTTTTCAGAGCTCATTGATGCCAATGTTGAAAAACAAAATATGTTGCAATAAAAACTACAAAGAAGCCATCTGTGAAACTGCTTTGAGATCCATGGATTCATCTTACAGAAGTAAAACTTTTTATTGATTCAGCAGTTGAAAACACTGTGTTTGTGGAATCTGCAAATGGACATTTTGGGGCACTCTGCAGCCAGTGGTGAATAAAAGAATATCCTGAGATAAAAACTAGAAAGAAAATATCCGTAAAATTGCATTGTGATGTGCTGATTCATCTAACAGAGATAAATCTTTGTTTTCATTCATCAAGTTGGGAACACTCTTTTTGCGGAATCTATGAAAGTATATTTTGAAGCCCATTGGGCCATGGGTGAAAAACTGAATATCCAGTGATAAAAACTAGAAAGATGCTATTGGTGAAACTGCTTTGTGATGTGTGGATTTATCTCATAGAGTTATACTTTTTTTTTTATTCAGCAAGTTGGAAAGACTCTTCGTGTTGAATATACAAAGAAACATTACTGAGCCCACTGAGGCCAATTGTGGAAAACCAAAATATCTCATGATAAAATTAAGAAAGAAAGCTATCTGTGAAACTGATTTGCAATTTGTGGATACATTTCAAAGAGCTAAGTCTTTCTTTTGATTCAGCACGTTGAAAATACTCCTTTCTGGAATCTATGAAAGTACATTTCACAGCTTATTGAGGCCAAAGATGAAAAACTGAATATCTTGTGTTAAAAATTTAAAAACTTGCTATCTGTGGAACTGCTTTCTGATGTGTGAATTTATCTCACAGAGTTAAAACTTTCTTCTGATTCAGGAGGTTCGAATCACTCACTTTTGGGATTTACAAAAAGACATTTGAAAGCCCATTGAAGCAAATAGTAAAAAGCCAATATCCCATGATAAAAAACTAGAAAGAAGTCATCTGTGAAACCACTTTTCAATGTGTGGATTCATCTCACAGAGTTAAACGTTTCTTTTGATTCAGCAGTTTGAAAATACTTTTTTTGTCTAATCTACGAAGGGACATTTTGGAACTTATTGATGCCAATGCTGAAAAACAAGATATCCCACAATATAAACTAGAAATAAGCTCTCTGTGAAACCGCTTGTCAATGTTTGGATTCATCTAACAAAGTTAAACCTTTTCTTTGATTAAGCTTGTTGGAGACAATCTTTTTGTGGAATCTTCGAAGGAACATTTCAGAGCCCATTGAGACCAATGATGAAAAATTGAATACCCTGCAATAAAAACTAGAAAGAGCCTATCTGTGAAACTACGTTTCCATGTGTGGATTCATCTCACAGAGTTAAAACATTTCTTTTGTTTCAGCAGGTTGCAAACACACTATTTGTGTAATCTACAAAGGGAAATTTCACAGTCCGTTGTGGCCAATGTTGAAAAATTGAATATCCCATTATAAAAACTAGAAAGAAGATATGTGTGAAACTGATTTGCTATGTGTGAATTCATCACACAGAGTTAAACCTTTATTTTGATTCAGCAGGTTGGAAACACTCTTTTTGTAGAATCTATGAACGGACATTTTGGAGCATATTGAGGCCAATGGTGAACAATTGAATATCCCCTGCTAAAACCCAGAAAGAATCTACCTGTGAAACCACTTTGCAATGCGTGGGTTAATCTCACAGAGTTAAACATTTCTTTTTATTCATGGTTTGGAAAGACTTGTTTTATGAAATCTACAAAAAGACTTTTTGACCCCTTTGAGGCCAATGCTGAAAAACTAAATATCCTGCAGTAAAATCTAGAAAGCAACTATCTATGAAACTCCTTTGCAAAGCGTGGATTCATATCACAGAGTTAAACCTTTCTTTTGATTAAGTGGGTTCAAAACACTTGTATAGTAGAATCTAGCAAGGGACACTTCAGAGCCCATTAAAGCCAATAGTGTAAAAGAGAGTACCCTGCTATAAAAAATAAAAGAAGCCATCTGTGAAATCACCTCACAGAGTTGGATTTATCTCACAAATTTAAACTTTTGTCTTGATTAAACAGGATGGAAACAGTTTATTTGAGGAATCTAAGAAGGGGATTTTCGAATCCCATTGAGGACAATGGTGAAAAACACAATATCCAGCAATAAAAATTAGAAAGTATTCTCTGTGAAACTGCTTTGTGATGTGTGAATTTATCTCACTGAAGCAAACCTGTCTTTTGATTCAGCAGGTTGGAAACACTCTTTTTGTGGTATCTGACAAGGGACATTTCAGAGCCATTTCAGTGCCATTGCTGAAACACCTAATATCTCATGTTAAAAACTAGAAAGAAGCTATCCGAGAAACAGTTTTGGGATATGTGGATTCATCTCACAGAGTTAAATTTTTTCTTTCATGCAGCAGGTTTGAAACACTGTTTTTGTGAAATCTATGAAGAGACATTATGGAGCCCATTGACAACAATGCTGATAAACAGAATCACCCACGATAAAAACTAGAAAGAAGCTACATATGTAATTGCTTTGTGGTGTGTGTATTTATTTCAGAGAGTTAAAACTTTCTTTTGATTCAGCAGTTGGAAACACTCTTTTTGTGGAATATACAAAATGACATTTTGGAGGCCATTGAGACCAATGTGAAAAACCAAATATCCCGTGATATAACCTAGAAAAATGCTCTATGTGAAACTGCTTTTTGAGGTCTGCAATCATCTCAAAAAGTTGAACATTACTATTGATTCAGAAGGTTTTTGTTGAACCTACAAAGGGACATTTCAGAGCCCATTCAAGCCCATGGTGAAAAAAACAAATATCCCACCATAAAAACTAGAAAGAAGCTCTGATTGAAATCACTTTGTGATATGTGGATTCATCTCAGAATTATGCATTTCCTTGGATTCAGCAGGTTGGAAACTGCATTTTGTGGGACTTAGGAAGGGACTTTTTGGGGCCCATTGACACCAATGGTGAAAAACACAATATCCCATGATAAAACTATAAAGAAGCCATATGTGAAATCGCTTAGCAACGTGTGGAATCATCTCACAAAGTTAACCTTTCTTTTGATTCAGCAGATTGGAAACACTCGTTTTGTGGAATGTGTGAAGGGACATTTGAGAGCTCATTGCTGCTAAAGGTGAAAAAATATTCAGTGATAAAGACTAGATAGAGTCAATCTGTGAAACTGCTTTGAGATGTGTGGATTCTTCTCACAGAATTAAAACTTTCTTTTGATTCCGCAGGTGGGAAATATTTTTTTGTGAAATCTAGAAATGAAAATTTTGGAGCCCAATGCAGCCCATGCTGAAAAGCAAAATATCACACAATACAAATTAGAAAGAAGCTCTCTGTGAATCCACTTTGTGTTGTACAAATACATCTTACAAAGTTAAACTTTTTTTAATTCAGAAGTTGGAAACTCTTTCTTTGTGGCACCTATGAAGAGATATTTCAGAGTCTGTTGAGGAAAATGGGGAAAAACAGAATATCCTGTGACAAAAATTAGAGTGAAACTATCTGTGAAACTCCTTTGTGATGTGTGGATTCATCTCACAGAGTTGAATATTTATTTTGATTCAGTAGATTGGAAGCACTCTTTTGTGGAATCTACAAAGGAACATTTCAGAGCACATTGAGCTCAATGGTGAAAAACAAAATATCCCACCATAACAACTAGAAAGGCCCTCTCTGTGAAACCTGTTTGTGATATGTGGATTCATCTCACAGAGTTATACCTTTCTTTGGATGCAGCAGGTTGGAAATACTCATTTTGTGGAATCTAGGAAGGGACATTTTGAGGCTCACTGTTGCCAATTGTGAAAAACACAATATCCCATGATAAAGATTAGAAAAAAGCCATCTGTGAAACAGCTTTGCAACATATGGATTCATCTCACAGAGTTAAACCTTTTTATTGATTCAGTAGTTGAAAATTCTTATGTCTGTGGAATCTACAAAGGAACATTTAGGAGCCCTTTGAAGCCAATGGTAAAAAAATAAATATCCCATGACAAAAACTAGAAAGAAGGTATCTGTGACCTTGTTTGTGATGTATGAATTCATGTCACAGAGTTCAACCTTTCTTTTGTTTCATCAGGTTGGAAACACTCTTTTTGTGGAATCTATGAAATTATATTTCTAAGCCCATTGGGCCAATGGTGAAAAACCAAATATGTTGCAATAAAAACTAGAATGATGCTATTGGTGAAACCGTTTTGCCATGTGTGGATTTATCTCACAGAGTTAAACATTTTCTTTGATGCAGCAGGTTTGAAACACTGTTTTTATGAAATATATGAAGAGACATTTTGGAGCCCATTGAGGCCATTGCTGGTAAACCAAATATCCCGTGGTAAAACCTAGAAAGAAGCTATATGTGAAGCTGCTTTGTGGAGTGTGGATTCATTTCAGAGATTTAAACCTTTCCTTTTATCAGCAGGATGAAAGCAGGTTTTTGTGGAATCTATGAAGGGGATTTTAAGATCCCATTGATGACAAAGGTGAAAAACAAAATATCCCATAATAAAAATTAGAAGAATCCTCTCTGTGAAATTGCTTTGCGATGTGTGGAATCATCTCAAAGGGTTGAACACTGCTATTCATTCAGCAGGTCTTTGTGGAACCTACAAAGGGACATTTCAGAGCCCATTGAGGCCAATAGTGAAAAACCAAATATCCCACCATAAAAACTAGAAAGAAGCTCTCAGTGAAACTGCTTTGCAATATGTGGATGCATCCCACCGAGTTATGCCTTTCTTTGGATTCAGCAGGTTGAAAACTCGTTTTGTGGAATTTAGAAAGGGACATTTCAGAGCCCATTGATGCCAATGATGAAAAACACAATATCCCATGATAAAACTAGAAAGAAGCCATCTGTGAAATCGCTTAGCAACGTGTGGAATCATCTCACAAAGTTAACCTTTCTTTTGATTTAGCAGGTTGGAAACACTCGTTTTTTGGAATATACAAAAGGACATTTGAGAGCCCGTTGCAGGTAAAAGTGAAAAAAAAATTCTGTGATAGTGACTAGATAGAAGCAGTCTGTGAAACTGCTTTGTGAAGTGTGGATTCCTCTCACAGAGTTAAAATTTTCTTTTGATATAACAGATGGAAAGCACTTTTTTGTAAAATCTAGATAGAAAAATTTTGCAGCCCAATATGGCCCATGTTGAAAAATGAAATATCACACAATAAAAATTAGAAAGAAGTTTCTCTGTGAATCCGTTTTGCAATGTGTGGATTCATTTCAGACAGTTAAACCTTTCTTCTGATTCAGCAGGTTGGAAACACTCTTTTTGTGGAATATACAAAAGGACATTTCAGAGCCCATTAAGACCAATGAGGAAAAACAGAATATCCTGTGACAAAAATTAGAGTGAAACTATCTGTGAAACTCCTTTGTGATGTGTGGATTCATCTCACAGAGTGGAATATTTATTTTGATTCAGCAGATTGGAAGCACTCTTTTTGTGGAATCTACAAAGGGACATTTCAGAGCCCATTGAGCCCAATGGTGAAAAACCAAATATCCCGCCATAACAACAAGAAAGGACCTCTCTGTGAAACCTCTTTGTGACATGTGGATTCATCTCACAGAGTTACACTTTTCTTTGGATTCAGCAAGTTGGAAACACTCATTTTGTGGAATCTAGGAAGGGACATTTCGAGACTCACTGTTGCCAATGGTGTAAAACACAATAACCCACAATAAAAACTAGAAAAAAGCCATCTGTGAAACAGCATTGCAATATGTGGATACATCTCACAGAATTAAACCTGTTTATTGATTCAGCAGTTGAAAACTCTTGTGTTTGTGAAATCTATGAAGAAACGTTTTGGAGCCCTTCGAGGCCAATGGTAAAAAAAATGAATATTCCATGATAAAAACTAGAAAGAATGTGCTTGTGAATTTGCTTTGTGATGCGTAGATCCATCTCACCGAGTTCAAACTTTCTTTCGATTCATCAGGTTGGAAACACTCTTTTTGTAGAATCTGAAATTACAGTTCTAAGCCCATTGAGGCCAATGGTGAAAAACCGAATATCTCATGATAAAAACTAAAAAGATAATATTGGTGAGACCATTTTTCTATGTGAGGATTCATCTCACAGAGTTATACCATTCTTTTGAATCAGCAGGTTGGAAACACTTTTTTGTTGAATATTCAAAGGGACATTTCAGAGCCCATTGAGTCCAGTGGTGAAAAACCAATTATCGTGATATAAAAAGAAAGAAGCTATCTGTGAAACTGATTTGCAATGCATGGATTCACCTCAAATAGTTAAACCTTTCTTTAGATTTAGCAGATTGCGAACACCCCTCATTTAGAATCTACAAAAGGACATTTCTGAGCTAATTTAGGGCAATGTTAAAAATCTGAATATCCCACATTAAAATTTAGAAAGAAGCTATCTGTGAAAGCGCTTCATGATGTGTGAATTCAACTCACAGTGTTAAACTTTGTTTTGATTCAGCAGGTTGGAAACACTTGCTTTGTGAAATTTACAAAGGGACATTTCAAAGCCCATTGAGGCCAATAGTGAAAAATCCAATATCCCGAGATAAAATCTAGAAAGAAGCCATCTGTGAAACTGCTTTGGGATGTGTGGATTCATCTCACAGAGTTAAACATTTCTTTAGATTTAGCAGGTTGAAAATTTCTTTTTGGAATCTACAAAGGGACAATGTTGGGATTCACTCAGCATGGTGGCAGAAATATTAAAGAGAAATATTAGGGAAAGTTGTAGGAAATAGTCACAAACATTTTGGAAGTCCGAAAAGTTACATAGCTTACAATAATTGAGCAGGCTGAAGGCAGCCGGTTCTTACTTTAGAGCATTAGGTAATACGTTAAATACTAGGGACAATAGAAGCTTCCCCAGTTAAATCTATTTATCCTACCTCCATTAACTAACCTTTCAGCCAGATAGCCCTCTTGAGAGGATGTCAACCAGGGATGTTGCCCCCTAATGGTATTTACTTTAGATCGTGGTACCTGAGCTTTAATCACTTGTAGAACTACTCTCTTAACCATGTTAATGATACACAAATGTGTTGACTCAAAACTTTTGTTGTTAATTGCATATTAAATAAATGACTTGAGTGTGAGCTGCTCAGGGCTGGCCACTGTGAGAAACCTCTCTTGGTGTGCAGGTTGTCAGACACTCATCTGGACTGGCTAAACAGAATATCTGTGTGTCTTTGTACGTTTTATTCACCTATCTTTTGAGTCAGGGTCTGTGGGAAGATCCTCACAATTAATGTTCTCAAGTGTGAAGAGCAACACCTCAGAACAATTTGCAGCCCATTGATGCCAATGCTGAAACACCAAATATCCCATGATAAAAGCTAGAAAGAAGTTCCCTGTGAAACCCCTTTATGATGTGTGGATTCATCTCCCAAAGTAAAACCTTTCCTTAAATTCAGCAGTTTGGAAACACTCTTTTCGTAAAATCTACAAAGACACATTTTGGAGCAAATTAAGGCCAATGGTGAAAAATTGAATATTTTATGATGAAAACTAGAAAGAAGCTATCTGTGAAACCACTTTGCAATGTGTGGATTCATTTAACACATTAAACCTTTCGTTTGATTCAGCAGGTTAGAAACACTCTTTTTGTGAAATCTGCAAAATGACATTCTGGAACCCATTGGGGCCAAGGTAAAAAATGAATATCTGGTGATAAAAAACTAGAAGGAAGGCTTTTGTGGAACCACTTTGCAATTTGAATTCAGCTCACAGAGTTAAACCTCCTTTTGATTCAGCAGGTTGCATTTTTGTGGAATCCACTAAGGGAAACTTCAGAGCCCATTGAGGCCTATATTGAAAAAGTGAAAACCCCACAATAAAAACGAGAAAGAAGCTATCTGAGAAATGGCTTTGTGATGTTTGGATTTATCTCACAGAGTTAAGTTGTTCTTATGATTCAGCAGGTTGGAGACACATTTTTCATAAAATCTACAAAGGGATATTTCAGAGGTTGTTAATGCCAATGCTGAAACACAGAATATCTTGCATTAAAAACTAGAAAGAAGCTATCTTTGAAACTGCTTTATGATGTATGCATTCAACTCACAGAGTTAAAACATTGTTTTGATTCAGCACGTTGGAAACATCTTTTTGTGGAATCTACGAAGAGACAAGACAGAGTCCATTGAGGTCAATGGTGAGAAACCATATATCCCATGATAAACACTAGAAAGAAGCATTTTGTGAAACATTTTTGGGATGAGTCGATTCATCTCATAGAGTTAAACATTTATTTTGATTCAGTAGGTTGGAAACATTCTTTTTGTGGAATCTATGGAGGGACATTTTGGAGCACATTAACGCCAATGGTGAGAAACTGAATATCACCCATTAAAAATGAGAAAGAAGCAATATATGAAACCACCTTGTGAAGTGTACATTCATCTCACAGAGTTAAATATTCCATTTGATTCAGCAGGTTAGAAGTGCTCACATTTGTGGAATCTATAAAGGGACATTTAGGAGCCCTTTGAAACAAATAGTGAAAAATCAAATATCCCGTGTTAAAAACTAGAAAGAAGGCTCTTTGAAACCTTTTTGCAATGTTTGGATTCATCTCACAGATTTAAAACTTTTTCTTTATTCAGCAAGTTTGAAATACTTTTTTGATTAAATCTACAGAGGTTCATTTCAGAGCCCACTGAGGCCAATCATGAAAAACAGAATATCCCATAATAAATACTAGAAAAAATCTTTGATAGCACTATATGATATTTGGATTCAACTCACAGACTTAAACCAGTCTTTTGATTCAGCAGGTAGAAAATATATTTTTGTGAAATCTACTAAGGGACTTTTCAGAGTCCTTCAAGGACAATGGTGAAAAAACAATTATCCCACCATAAAAACTAGGAAGAAGCTATCTGTGAAACTGCTTTGTGATGCATGAATTCACCTCACAGAGTTAAACCTTTGTTTTGATTCAGCAGGTTGGAAACACTTCTTTAGTAGAATCTAGTAAAAGATATTTCAGAGCTCATTAAGGCCAATGGTGAAAAACACAATATTCCATGATAAAAAATAGAAAGAAGCCATATGTTAAAAAACTTTTTGAAAGTGGATTCATTTCACAAAGTTAAACCTTTGTTTTGATTCAACAGGTTGGGAAAAGATTTCTTGTGGAATCTACGAAGAAGTTTTCAGATTCCATTGATGCCAACACTGAAAAACTGAATATCTTATGATTAAAAGTAGAAAGAACCTATCTGATAAACTGTTTTGCAATGTTTGGATTCATCTCACAGAGTAAAACTGTTCTTTTGATTAGCCATGTTGGAAATACTCTGTGTGCAATCTACGAAGGGACATTTTGGAGCCTGTGAATGCCATTGCTGAAACTCTGAATATCTCTTGATAAAAATTAGAAAGAAGCTATCTGTGAAACCTCTTTGCAATGTTTGGATTTATCACACAGAGATAAACCTTTCCTTTAATTCAGCAGGTTTGAAATACTGTTTGCATTAATCCTATGAAGAAAAATTTTAGAGCCCACTGAGGCCAATGTTAGTAAATAAAGTATCCCATGATAAAAACTAAAAAGAAGCTATCTGTGATACTGCTTTGCAATGTGTGGATTCTGTTCAGAGAGTTAAACTTTTCTTTTGATTCAGCAAGTTGGATACATTCTTTTAGTAGAATCTGCAATGGGACATTTGGGAGCCCAATGAAACCTATAGTGGAAAACAGAATATCCCCAGATAATAACTAGAACGAACCTATCTGTGAAACTGCTTTCCAGTGTGTGGATTCATCTCACATATTTAAACCTTTCTTTTGATTCAGCAGATTGGAATCACTCTTTTTGTGGAATCTACAAAGGGACATTTCAAAGTCCATTGAGGCCAATGATGAAAAAACAAATATCACACAGTAAACCTAGAAAGAATCTCTCTGTGAAACTGCTTTGTGATGTGTGGAATTATCTTACAGAATTAAACCTTTTTATGATTCAAAACTATGGAAACACTTCTTTTGTGGAACCTAAGAAAGGAAATTTCAGAGCTCATTAAGGCCAACAGAGAAAAGCTGAACATTCTGTGATAAAAACTAGAAAGAATCTATCTGTGAAAATGCTTTGTGATGTGGGGTTTCATCTCAAAGAATTGAACATTGCTGTTGATTCAGCATATTTTTGTGGAATCTATGAATGTACATTTTGGGCCCCATTGTGGCCAATGGTGAAAAACTGAATATCCCGCAATAGAAACTAGAAAGAATATCTCTGTGAAACCACTATGTGTTATGTGCATTCGTCTCAGTGTTATACGTTTCTTTGCACACAGCAGGTTGGAAACACTTGTATTGTGGAATCTGCAAAGGGTCATTTCAGAGCCCATTGATGCCAATGGTGAAAAACACAATATCCTGCAATAAAAACTAGAAACAATCCACCTGTGAAATCACTTTGATATGTGTGAATTCATCTTACAGAGTTAAATTTTTCTTTTCATTCATCACGTTGGAAACACTCTTTTTGTTGAATCTCTGATGGGACAATTCAAATCCCATTGAGGCCAGTGGTGAGAAAATGAATACCCCACGTAAAGCACAGAAAGAAGCTATCTGTGAAACTGCTTTGTGATGTGTGGATTTATCTTAGAAAGATAAACTTTTATTTTGATTCAGAAGTTTGTAAACATTCTTTTTGTGGAATCTATGAAGGAAATTTCAAAGCCTATTTAGGACCATGGTAACAAACAGAATATTTCTCCATAAAAACTAGAAAGAAGCCATATGTGAAATGCTTTGTGATGTGTGTATTCATGTCACAGAGTTAAACCTTTCTTTTTATTCAGTAGATTTAAAACACTCTTTTTGCGGAATCTTCAAAGGGACACTGGGGGGCCATTGAGGCCAATGATGAAAAACTGAACATCTAGCAATAAAACTTAGAAAGAAGCTATCTGTGAAACTGCTTTGTGATGTGGGGATTCATCTCACAGAGTTAAACCTTTGTTTTTAATTTACCAGTTTGGAAAAACTTTTCTTGTGGAATCTACGAAGGTACATTTCTGAGCACATTGAAGCCAATGTTGAAAAACTGAATATCTCACAATAAAAACGAGGAAAACATTATCTTTGAAGCTGCTTTTGATGTGTGGATTTATCTCACAAAGTTAAACATTTCTTTTGATTCTGTAGGTTTGAAACCCTCATTTTTTGGTATCTAGCAAGGGATATTTTGGAGCCCATTCTGGCCAGTGGTGAAAAATATATCATGATTAAAAAAAACAAACAAACCACCTATGAAACGGATTTGTGATGTGTGGATTCATCTCAGAGAGTTAAACTTTTCCTTTGATTCACCAGGTTGGAAACACTGTCATTGTGGAATCTACAAAGGGATATTTTGGAACCCATTGAGGTCAGTGATGAAAAAATGAATATTCTGCAATAAAAACTAGAAAAATGTTATCTGTGAAACCACTTGGTGATGTGTGGAACCACCTCACAAAGTTAAACTTTGCTTTTGATTAATCAGGTTGGAAACACACTTTTTGAGGAATGTATGAATGCACATTTTGAAGACCATTGGAGAAAGTGTTGAAAAATGAATATCTTGCAATAAAAACTAGAAAGAAGCTGTATGTAAAATTGCTTTACCATGTAAGGATGCACTCACAGAGCAATACATTTATTTTCAATAAGCAGGTTGGAAACACTTTTGTTGTTGAATATACAAAGGGTCATTTTGGAGCCCATTGAGGCCAATAGTGATAAACCAAATATCCCATGATAAAAACCAGAAAGAAGCTGTCTGTGAAACTGCATTGTGATGTGTGGATTCATCTCAAAGAGTTAAACCTTTCTTTTGATTCAGCTAGTTGGAAACACTCTTTGTTGAATTGATGTAGGAACTATTCGAAGTCTAATGAGACCAATGGTGAAAAGCCGTATATCACATGATAAAAACTGACAAAAGCTCTCTGTGAAACTGCTTTGTGATGTGTGGATTCACCTTACAAGTTAAATCTTTTTTTTGATTCAGCACATTGGAACCACTCTTTTTGTTGAATCTCCAATGGTATAATTCAGAGGCCATTGCAGCCACTCATGAAAAACTGAATACCCCTCATAGAAAATACAAATAAGCTATCTGTGAGACCATTTTGTGATGTGTGGATTTATCTCACAGATGTAAACCATTATTTTTATTCAGCAGGTTGGAAACACTTTTTTTTGTGGAATGTTCAAAGCAACATTTCAGAGCCCTTTGAGGTCAATTGTGAAAAATTGAATATCCCACAATAAAAACAAGACAGATGCCATCTGTGAAACCACTTTGCAATGTGTGTATTTATCACACAGAGTTAAACAGTTCTTTTGATTCAGCAACTTGAAAACACCCTGTTTGTGGAATCTATTAAAAAATATTTTGGAGCCCATTGAGGCAAATGGTGAAAAATCAAAATCCTGTGAGAAAACTAGAAAGAAGTTATCTCTGGAAACTCATTGTGATGTGTAGATTCATCTTAGAGACTTAAATGTTTTTAGATTAAGCAGGATGGTAACTTTTTTTGTGAAATCTCTGAAAGGACATTTCAGAGGCCATTGACTTCAATGTTGAGAAAAAAAAATCCCACAATAAAAGCTAGAAAGAAGCTATCTGTGAAAACACTTTGTGATGTGTGGTTTCATCTCACAGAGTTGAACATTTTTGATTCAGCAGGTTGGAAACACATTTTATGTGGTATCTAGGAGAGACCTTTTTTAGCCCATTAAAACCAATGGTGAAAAATTCATTATCCCACCAAAAAAACTAGAAAGAAGCTATGTGTAAAACAGCTTTGTGATGTGTGGATTCAGCTCACAAAGTTAAATCTTTCTTCTGATTTAGCAGGTTTGAAACCATCTTTTTGTTGAATCTATAAAGAAATATTTTGAGCCTGCTGAGGCCAATGGTGAAAAACCGAATGCCCTGCCATAAAAACTACATAGAAGCTATCTGTGGAAATGTTTTGTGATCTGTGGATTCATCTCACAGAGTTAAAGCTTTCTTTGGATTCAGGAGGTGGAAACACTCTTTTTGTGGGGAAATTTCAAAGCTCTTTGATGCCAATGGTGAAAAACTGAATATCCTGCAACAAAAACTAGAAAGAAGCTACCTGTGAAACTGCTTTGCCTTGTGTGGATTCATTTCAGAGAATTAAACCTATTTTTTTGATTCAGCAGGTTAGAAACACTTTATTTGTAGAATCTGTGAAGGGACATTTTGGAGCCCACTCTGGCGTATAGTAAAAACTGAGTATCCTGTGATAAAACTAGAAAGAAGCTATTTGTGAAATTTATTTGTGATGTGTGGATTACACTCACAAAGGTAAACTTTTCTTTTGATTCCACAAGTTGGGAATACTCTTTTTGTAAAATCTACAAAGGGACATTTCGGAGCCCTTTGAAGCCTGTAGTGAGAAACAGAACATCCCATAATAGAAACTAAAAAGAAGCTATCTGTGACACCTCTTTGCAATGTGTGGATTCATCTTACAGTGTTAAACCTTGCTTTTGATTCAGATGGTTGGAAAACCCTTTTTCTTAAAATCAACCAAGAGACATTTTGGAACCCATTGGTTCCTATAATGAAAAGCCAAATTTCTTTTGATAAAAACTACAAAGAAGCTATCTATGAAACAACTTTCTGATTTTTTGGATTCATCTCAATGAGTTTAACCTTCATTCTGATTCAGAATTTTGGAATCCCTCATTTTGGAGAATCTACCAAAAAAAAAAAAAAAAAAAAAAATTCAGAGTTCATTGAATCCTGTAGTGAAAAACCAAATATCCAGCAATTAAAAAAAAAAAAGAAAAGAAAATATCTGTGAAAACACACTGTGATGTGTCATTTCATCTCACAGAATTAAACTTTTTTTTGAATCAGTAGGTTGAAAATACTCTTTTTGTAGAATCTATGAAGAAACATTTTAAAGCCCGCAGAGACCTATAGTGTATAGCAAAATATCCTGCTATAAAAACTAGATAGAATCTATCTATGAAACTTCTTTGTGATGTGTGGATTCATCTTACAGAGTTAAACCACGCTTTTGATTCAGCAGGTTGGATACATTTATTTTCTAGAATCTATGAAGAGACATTTGGGAACCCATTGAGGCCTATAGTGAAAAACCAAATATCAAGCAATAAAAACTTGAAAGAAGCTATCTGTGCAACGTCTTTGCAATGTGTAGATTCATCTCACAGAGTTAAACCTTTCTTTTGATTTAGCAGGTTGGAAACACTCTTCTTGTAGAATCTACAAAGGGATATTCTGTAGCCCATTGTCGCCTATACTGAAAAACTGAATATCTTGAGATTAAAACTAGTAAGAAGCTGTCTGTGAAAATGCTTTGCAATGTGTGGATTTATCTCACCAGGATAAGTGTTTCTTTAGATTCTGCAAATTGGAAATATTATTATTGCACAACCTAGAAAGACAATTTTCAGAGCCCATTGAAGCCAGTGATGAAAAACCAAATATCTTGCAATAAAAACTAGAAAGAAGCTGTCTGTGCAAATGCTTCATGATGTGTGGATTAATCTCCCAGAATTAAGCCTTTCTTTTAATTCAGCAGGCTGGTCACACTCTTTCTTAGAATCTACTAAGAAACATTTCACAGCTGTTTGAAGCCATTAGTGATAAACTGAATATCCCATGATAAAATCTAGAAAGAAACTGTCTTAGAAACAGCTTTGTGATGTGTGAATTTATCTCACAAATTTTAACGTTTGATTTGATTCAGAAGGCTGGAAACACTATTCCTGTGGAATATATGAAATGACATATCAGTTTCCATTGAGGTCTCTAATGAAAAACCCAATTTCCTGTGATAAAAACTCAAATGAAGCAATGTGTGAAAATGCTTTGCAATGTGTGCATTTATCTCACAGAGTTAAATCTTTCTTTTATTCAGTAGGTTGGAAACACTATTTTTATAGAATCTAAGAAGAGGGATTTCAGAGCCCATTCATGCCTATAGTAAAAAACTTAATAAACCATGGTAAAAACTAGAAAGAAGCTATCTGTGAAAATGTTTTGCAATGTGAGGATTCTTCTCATTGGGTTAAAACTTTATTTTGATTTAACAGGTAGGAAACACTATGAAGGGACATTTCAGAGTTCATTGAGACCAATATTGAAAAACCTAATATTCTGTAATAAAAACTAAAAAAAAAAAAAATCTGTCTGTTGAAACGTGTTGTGATATGTGGATTCATCTCACAGAGTTAAAACTTATGTGTGTGTGTATATATATATATATAGCAGGTTGGAAACACTCTTTTGGTATTATCTACAATAAAACATTTCTGAGCCCACTGAGATCTCTAGTGAGAAACTGAATATCCTTCAATAAAAACTAGTAAGAAGCTATGGTTGAAAATGCATTGAAATGTGTGGATTCACCTCAAAGAGTTGAAACTTTCTTTTGATTCAGCAGGTTGGAAAAACTCTATTTGTAGAATTTATGAAGAAAAATTCTGAAACCCTTTTATTCCTACAGAGAAACCAAATATCCCACAAAATAACCAGAAAGAAGCTATCTGTGAAAATGCTTCATGATGTGTGAATTCATCCCACAGAGGTAAACCTTTCTTTTGATTCAGCAGAATGGAAACATTCTTTTTGTAGAATTTACAAAGAAACATTCCACAGTCCATTTAGGCATATAGTGAAAAACAAAATATCCTGTAATAAAAACTAGAAAGAATTTATCTTTGACAACTCATTGTGAATTGAACATTCATCTCACCGGGTTCATCTTTACTTTGAATTCAGCAGGTTGGAAACACCCTTTTTGTAGTATCTACAAAAGACATTTTGGAGCTCTTTGAGGTTTATAGTGAAAAACCAAATTTCCACTATAAAAACTAGAAAGAAGACATCTTTTAAATGCTTTGTGATGTGTGGCTTTATCTCACAGGGTTAAACATTTATTTTTATTCAGCAGATTGTAACCACAGTTTGTAGAATCTACGAAGGACATTTCGGAGCCCATTGATGCATACAGTGAGAAACAAAATATCCTGCTATAAAAACTAGAAAGAAACTGTTTATGAAAACACTTTGTGATGTGTGAATTCATGTCACAGCTTTACAACTTTCTTTTCATTCAGCAGGTTGGAAACACTCTTTCTTTCGAATCTACCAAGGGATATTTCAAAACCCATTTAGGCATATAGTGAAAAACAAAATATCCTGCAATAAAAACTAGAAAGAATCTATCTGTGATAATGCTTTGTGAATCGAAGATTCATCTCACCGGGTTCAACTTTGTTTTTGATTTAGCAGGTTGGAAACACTCTTTTTGAAGTATCTATGAAAAGACATTTTGGAGCTCATTGAGGACTATAATGAAAAACCAAACACTCCACAATAAAAACTAGAAAGAAGGCATCTGTTAAAATGCTTTGTGATGTGTGGATTTGTCTCACAGAGCTAAACCTTTCTTTTGATTCAGCAAGTTGGAAACACTTTTTTTGTAGAATCTAAGAAGGGACATTTCAGAGTTCATTTAGGCATAGAGTTAAAAACCAAATATCTTGTAACAAAAACTAGAAAGAATCTATCTCTGATAATGCTTTGCGAATTGAAGATTCATCTCACTGGGTTCAATTTTATTTTTGATTTAGCAGGTTGGAAACACTGTTTTTGAAGTATCTATAAAAAGACATTTTGGAGCTCATTGAGGCCTATAATGAAAAACCGAACACTCCACAATAAAAAGTAGAAAGAAGGCATCTGTTAAAATGCTTTGTGCTGTGTGGATTTGTCTCACATAGCTAAACCTTTCTTTTGATTCAGCAAGTTGGAAACACTTCTTTTGTAGAATCTAAGAAGGGACATTTCAGAGTTCATTGAGGCATATAGTGAGAAACAGAATATCCTGATATACACTGGAAAGGACCTGCTTGTGAAAATGTTTTGTGATGTGTTAATTCACATCACAGAGTTAAATCTTTCTTTTTATTTAGCAAGATGGAAACCCTCTTTTTGTAGAATCTATGAAGAGACATTTTGGAGCCTATTGAGGCCTATAGTGAAAAACCGAATATCCCGCATCAAAAGCTAGAAAGAAGCTACCTATGAAAATGCTTTGCAATGTGTGGATTCATGTCACAGCTTTAAAACTTTCTTTTCTTTCAGCAGAATGGAAACACGATTTTTGTAGAATCTATGAAGGGACACTTCATAGCCTATTGAGCCCTTAGTGAAAAAACTAATATCCCATGATAAAAACTAGAAATAAGCTATCTTTAAAATGTTTCAAAAGGTGGAGATTTATCTCACAGAGTTAAACATTTCCTTTGACTCAGCAGGTTGGAGAAACTATTTTTGTAGAATCTATGAAAGGACATTTTGGTACGCTTTTAGGCTTGTAGTTAAAAACCGTATGTGCTTCAATAAAAATTAAAGAAGCTGTGAAAATGCTTTGCAATAGGTGAATTCTGCTCACAGTTAAATAAATTTTTCTAATTCAGCAGGATGAAAATCTTTTTATCTAAAATCAACAAAGAGACACTTCAGAGCCAATTGAGACCCATAGTGAAAAACAGAAAAGCCTGTGATAAAAACTAGAAAGAAGCTATCTGTGAAAACACATTGTGATGTGTGGATTCATCTAGAATCTATGAAGGGACATTTCAGAACCCATTGTGGCCTATAGTGAAAAACTGAATATTCCACTATAAGAATTGTTAAGAAACTGTCTGTGAAAATGCTTTCCCATGTGTGAATTTATATCACATAGTTAAACGTTTCTTTTGACTTAGCAGGTTGGAAGCCCTGTTTTTGTAGAATCTATGAAGGGACATTTCAAAGCCCATTGAGGACTACAGTAAAAACCTGAATAGGCCACCTTAAAAACTATAAAGAAGCTACCTGTGAAAATGCTTTGTGATGTGTGGATTCATGTCACAGCTTTACAACTTTCTTTTCATTCAGCATGTTGGAAACACTCTTTTTGTAGAAACTACAAAGGGGCATATCATAGCCCATATAGGCTTGTAGTGAAAAACCAAATATCCCAAGATAAAAACTGGAAAAAACCTATCTGTGAAAATGCTTTACAATGTGAGGATTTATCCCACAGAGTTAAACATTTTCTTTGATTTGGCAGGTTGGAAAAACCCTTTTTGTAAAATCTATGAAGGGACATTTTGGAGTCCTTTTAGGCTTATAGAGCAAAATTGTATATCCCTTGATAAAAAATAAAACATGCTATCTGCAAAAATGCTTTCTGATGTGTGGATTCATCTCAAAGGGTCAAACTTGTGGGGAAAAGAAAGAGAGATCAGATTGTTACTGTGTCTATGTAGAAAAGGAAGACATAAGAAACTCCATTTTCATCTGTACTAAGAAAAATTGTTTCCACTTTGAGATGCTGTTAACCTGTAACTTTAGCTCCAACCCTGTGCTCACAGAAACATGTGCTGTAATGAATCAAAGTTTAATGGATTTAGGGCTGTGCAGGGTGTGCCTTGTTAACAATATGTTTGCAGGAAGTATGCTTGGTAAAATCATCACCATTCTCCATTCTCGATTAACCAGTTACAAAAGGCACTGCAGAAAACTGCAGGGACCTCTGCCCAAGAAAGCCTGGGTATTTCCCAAGGTTTCCCCCCACTGAGACAGCCTGAGAAATGGCCTCATGGGAAAGGAAAGAACTTACCATCCCCCAGCCTGACACCTGTAAATGTCTGTGCTGAGGAGGAGTAGTGAAAGAGGGAGGCCTCTTTGCAGTTGAGATAAGAGGAAGTCTTCTGTCTCCTGGTCTTCCCTGGGAATGGAATGTCTCAGTGTAAAGCTGACCATTCCCATTCATTCTATTCTGGGGTAGTTGTAGGATTGATGAAAGGACTTTTCAGAGTTCATGGAGGCCTTTACTGTAAAACCAAATATCACATGATAAACACTAGAAAGAAGCTATCTATAAAAAGTGTCATGATATGTGGATTGAGCTCAAAGATTTAAATATTTATTTTCACTCAGCAGGTTGTAAACACTCTTTTTGTAGAATCTACGAAGGTGCATTTTGAAGCTCATTGAGCAGAATAGTAAATAACTGAAGATCCTGTCACAAAAAAAATATAAACTATCTGTGAAAGCACTTTGCAATGTGTGGATTTATCTCAAAGAGTTAAACCATTCTTTTGAAACAGCAGGTTGGAAACACTCTTTTTGTAGAACTTACCAAGGGACATTTCAAAGTCCATTGATTCCTATAGTGAAAAACAAAATATCCCGTGATAAAACTAGAAAGAAGCTATCTGTGAATACGCCCTCTGATATGTGGATTCATCTCACAGACATAAACCTTGCTTTTCATTTAACAGGTTGGAAACACTCTTTTTTTAGAATCTTCTAAGGAACATTTTGAAGCCTACTGAGGCCTATACTGAATAACAGAAGATCCTATGATAAAAAGTAGAAACTATTTTTGAAAATTATTTGTGATGTGTGGATTTATCTCACAAAATTAAACCTTATTTTTGATTCAGCAGTTTGGAAACACTCTTTTTGTAGAACTTACAAAGGGACAATTCAAAGTCCATTCATTTCTGTAGTAAAAAACTAAGTATCTCATGATAAAAACTAGAAAGAAGCTATCTGTGAAAATGCTTTGTGATGTGTGGATTCATCTTACAGATTTAAACCTTTCTTTTGATTTAGCAGGTTGGAAACACTCTTTTTGTAGAATCTATGATGAGACATTTCTGAGCCTATTGAGGCCTAGTATTATTCCACAATAAATACTAGAAAGAAGACATCTGTGAAAAGGCTTTGTGATGTGTGGATTCATCTCACAGACATAATCATTTCTTCTGATTTAGCAGGTTTGTAACACTGTTTATGTAGAATCTATGAAGGGACATTTTGAGCACATTAAGGCCTATGGTTAAAAAACAACCCTGAATATCCCACAATAAAAACTAGAAAGAAACTATAATTCAATAAACTTTGTGATGTCTGGATTTCTCTCACAGAGTTAAACTTTTCGTTTCATTCAGCAGGTTTGAAACCCTCTTTTTGTAGAATCTATGAAGAGACATTTCGAAGTCCATTGAGGCCTATAGTGAAAACCCAAATAACGAGCAATGAAAACTAGAAATGAACTCTTTGTGAAAATTCTTTTCAATGTGTGGATTCATGTCACCAGTTTAAACATTACTTTTTAATCAGCATATTAGAAACAATTATTTTGTACAATATACAAATGAACATTTCAGAGCACATTGAGGTTTATGGTGAAAAATTGAACATCCTCTGATAAAAAATACAAAGAAGCCATCTGTGAAAACATTTTGCCATATGTGGATTCATCTCACAAAGGCAAATAATTCTTTTCATTTAGCAGTTTGGAAATACTCTTTTTTAAAATTCTATGAAGGGTCTTTTTGGACCCCTTTGATGCCCATAGTAAAAACTGAGTATCCCATGATAAAAACTAGAAAGGAAGAATCTGTGAAAAGGTTTTGTGAGGTTTGGATTCATCTCATCAAGTTAAACCTTCCTTTTGATTTAACAAATTGAAAACACTTTTTTTATGGAACTTGCGAAGGGACATTACAGAGCCCATTGAGGCTTATAGTGAAAAACCAAATATTACACAACAAGAACTAGAAAGAAGTTATCTGTGAAAATGCTTCTAAATGTGTGGATTCATCTCAAGGGATCAAGTTTTTTTTTTCATTCAGTAGGTTGGAAACACTTTTTTTCTAGAATATGCGAAGGGACATTTTGGAGAACATTGAGGCATATTAGGAAAGACTAAATATCTGAAAGCAAAAACTTAAAAGAAACTACCTGTGAAAATGCTTCACAATGGGAGGTTTCATCTCACAGGGTTAAACTTTTATGTTGATTTGGCAGGTTAGAAAAACATTTTTTTGTAGAATTTATGAAGGGACATTTTGGAGCCCACTTAGGCCTTTAGTTAAAAACAAAATATTTCACAATAAAAAACAAAGAGAACTATCTGTGAAAATGTTTTGTGATGTGTGGGTTAATCTTACAGAGGTAAACCTTTCTTTTGATTCAAAAGGTTGGAAAACTTTTTTTTTTTGTAGAATGTATGAAGGAACATGTTGGAGACCATTGAGGCTTATGGAGAAAAACCAAATATCTCATGATAAAAACTAGAAAGAAGCCATGTGTGAAAATGCTTTGCAATGTGTGGATTGATCTCACTAGGATAAATCTTTCTTTTGATTAAACAGGTTGGAAACACTCTTTTTGTAGAATCCACAAAGGGACACTTCAGAGCCCATTGATGCCTATAATAAAAAAAAAATATTGGGCGTGAACAAATAGGAAGAACCTATCTGTGAAAATGCTTTGAGATATCTGGATTCATCTCACAGAGTTAAACCTTTCTTTTTATTCAGCAGGTTGAAACACTCTTTTGTAGAATCTATGAAAAAAATATTTCATAGTTCATTGAGGCCTATAGTGAAAAAACCAATATCCCACTATGAAAAATAGAAGCTTTCTGTGAAAATGCTTTTCAAAATGTGGATTATTCTTATAAAATTAAACCTTTCTTTTCATTCACGAGGTTGAAAACACTCTTTTTGTAGAATCTACAAAGGGACTTTTCAGAGCCCGTTTTGGTCTGTAGGGAAAAACTGAATATCTTGCAATAAAAACTTTAAAAAACCTGTCAGTGAAAACAATTTGTGATGTGTGGCTTCATCTCACCTCGTTGAACCTTTTTTTTTTTTCTTTTTGATTCAGCAGCTTGGAAACACTTTTTTGTAGAATCTATGAAAGGACATTTTGAAGTTTATTGTGGCCTATAGTGAAAAACTGAATATCACATGATAAAAACTAGGAAGAAGCTGTCTGTAAATGTGTGGATGTGTGGATCTCATAGAATTAAACCTTTCTTTTGATTCAGTAGGTTGGAAACCCTCTTTTTCTGAAACTTATGAAGAGACATTTTGGATCCCATCAATATCTATGGTGAAAAATCGAATATCCTGTGACAAGAACCACAAAGAATGTAACTATGAAAAGTCTTTGAAATGTGTCGAATAATTTTATAGTGTTAAAATTTTGTTTTAATTCAGCCATTTGAAAACAGTCTTTCTGTAGAATCTTCCAAAGGACATTTTGGAGCCCAAAATGAAGGCCAAAAGTGAAAAACCAAACATCTTGTGATAAAAACTAGAAAGAAATTATCTGTGAAAATTCTTTGCAATGTGTGGATTTATCTCCGAAAGTTAAACCTTTCTTTTCATTCAGCAGGTTGGAAACACTCTTTTTGGAGATGTACAAAGGGACATTCCAGAGCCTTTTGAGGCTTATAGTGAAAAACCAAATATCCCATGATAAAAATGAGAAAAGATATCTGTGAACACACTTTGTGATGTGTGGATTCCTCTCACAGAGTTAAACCTTTCTTTTCACTTAGCAGGTTGGAAACAATCTTTTTATAGAATCTAAAAAAAGGGACATTACAGAGCCCATTGAGGCCTACATTGAAAAACAGTATTTTGTGTTAAAAACCAGAAAGAAGACATCTGTGAAAATTCTGTATGATGTGTGGATTAATCTCATAGAATTAAACCATTCTTTTGAATCCGCGTGTTAAAAACACTCTTTTTGTAGAATCTCTGAGGGACCATTTCAAAGCCCAATGAGGCCTAATGTGAAAAACCTGATATCCCCAGATAAAAACTAGAAAGAAGATCTTTGTGAAAAGCTTTGCAATCTGTGTATTCATCTCACCAGGTGAAATCTTTATTTTGATTCAGCAAGTTGGAAACACTCTTTTTGTAGACTCTATGGAAGGACATTTCAGAGCCCATTGAGACCTGTAATAAAAACCAAATACAGGGAGAGAACAAGTAGAAAGATGTTATCTATGTAAATGCTTTACAATGTCTGGATTCATCTCACAGAGCTAAACTTTTCTTTTCATTCAGCATGTTGAAACACTCTTTTTGTAGAATCTACAAGGGAATATTTCATAGCACATTGAGGCCTAAATTGAAAAACTAAATATTTCATGACAAAAACTATAAAAAAGGTATTTGTGGAAATACTTTGTGACATATGGATGCATCTAACAGAGGTAAACCTTTCTTTTGATTCAGCAGGTTGCAACCAAACTTTTTCTAGAATCTACAAAAGGACATTTGGAGCCACTTGAGGTCTATAGTGAAAAATCGATTATTTCGCTATAAGAACTATTAAGAAGTTGTCTGTAAAAATGCTTTGCAATGTGTGGATTCATATCACAGAGTTACACCTTCTTTATATTAAGCTGGGTGGAAATCATCTTTTTGTAGCAAATATGAAGGGACATTTCAGAACCCATTGCAACCTAAATTGAAAAACAGAATATCCCACAATAAAAATGAGAAGGAAGCTGTCAAGGGAAAATGCTTCTCAATGTGTGGATTCATCTCCAGTTTTAAAGTTTTCTTTTGATTCAGCAGATTGTAAACACTCGTTTTGTAGAATCTACAAAGGTGCTTTTTGGAGGCCATGGAGGTCTATATTGAAAAAATGAATATCCTGAAATAAACACTAAAAGAAAGCTCTCTGTGAAAACACTTTGAGATATGTGGATTTATCGCACAAGGTTAAACTTTTCTTTTGAGTCAGCAGGTTGGAAACACTCTTTTTAGAATATATTAAGGGATATTTCAAAGCCCATTGAGGCCTAAATTGAAAAACTGAATATTCCACAACAAAAACTATAAAAAAGATATTTGTGAAAATGCTTTGTGTTGTATGGATTCGTCTAACAAAGGTAAAACTTTGTTATGATTCAGCAGGTTGCAACCAAACATTTTCTAGAATCTAGAAAGGGACATTTTGGAGCCAATTGAGGCTTATAGTCAAAAACTGATTATCCCACTATAAGAAATAGTTCTTATAAGAAGCTGTCTGTAAAAATGCTTTGCAATGTGTGGATTCATATCACAGAGTTAAAACTTCTTTATATTCAGCTGGGTGGAAATGATCTTTTTGTAGAAAATATGAAGGGACGTTATTCAGCAGCTTGGAGACACTCTTTTTCTAGAATCTAGGAAGGGATATTTCAGAGCCCATTGAGGTCTATAGTGAAAAACTAAAGACCCTGCAATAAAAATTATAAAGAAGCTTTCTCTAAAAGTGATTTGTTACATGTGGATTCATCTCACAGAATTAAACCTTTCTTTTAATTTGGCAGGTGGGAAACCCTCTTTTTGTAGAATGAAACAGGGGAAATTTCAAATTCCTTTGAGGCCAAAAGTGAAAAACCAAATATCCCCAGATAAAAATGAGAAAGAAGCTATCTTTGAAACTCCTTTGTGATGTGTGAAAAAACAAACATCCCCAGACAAAAATGAGAAAGAAGCTATCTGTGAAACTCCTTTGTGATGTGTGGATTCATCTCACAGAGTTAAACCCTTCTTTAGATTCAGCAGTTTGGAAACACTCTTCTTGTAGAATCTACAAAGGGTCATTTCAGAGCCCATTGAGGCTGACAAAGAAAAACCTAATACCTTGTAATGAAAACTAGAAAGAAGACATCTGTGAAAACACTTTTTGGTGTGTGTATTCCTCTAAAAGAGGTACACCTTTTATTTATTCAGCAGGTTGTGTATACACTTTTGGTAGAATCTACAAAGGGACAGTTAAGAGCCAATTGAGGCCAAAAGTGACAATCTGAATATTCCACTACATAAACTAGTAAAAATCTGTCTGTGAAAATGTTTTGCAATGTACCAATTCATATCACAGAGTTAAGCCTTTTTTTTTTTTTTTTTGGTCAGCTGTTTGGAAACCCTCTTTTTGTAGTACCTACGAAGGGACATTATAGAGCCCATTGTGACCTAAATTGAAAAACTAAATATTCGACAATAAAAACTAGAAAGAAGCTATGTGTGAAAATGCTTCTCTATGTGTGGATTAATCATCATTGTTAAACTTTTTTTGATTCAGCAAGTTGGAAACACACTTTTTGTAGAATCTACAAAGGGACTTTTTGGAGCCCTTTGAGGTCTATAGTGAAAAACAGAATATCCTGTTATAAAAACTACAAAAAACTCTCTGTGAAAACACTTTGTGATGTATGATTCATCTCACTGGGTTAAACTTTTTAATATTATTTAGCAGGTTGTAGACACTTTTTAAAATATAATCTATAAAAGGGCCTTTCAGAGCTTATTGAGGCCTATAGTGAAAAACCAAATATCACACGACAAAAACTAGAAAGAAGCTGTCTGTGAAAAAGCATTGCAATGTGCCAATTCACCTCACAGGGTTAAACCTCACTTTTGATTCAGCAGGTGGGAAACCTTTTTTTTTTTTTTTTTTTTTTGTAGAATCTATACAGGGACATTTCGAATCCCAACATGGTTTATAGAAAAAAAAGAATATTCCACGATGAAAACAGGAAAGAAAATATCTGTGAAAATTCTTTGTGATGTGTGGATTCAT
This sequence comes from Homo sapiens, assembly GCF_000001405.40. Taxonomy (NCBI): domain Eukaryota; kingdom Metazoa; phylum Chordata; class Mammalia; order Primates; family Hominidae; genus Homo; species Homo sapiens. Next base: position 35,916,615 of record NC_000016.10, on the reverse strand, counting down.
TTTGCAGAGTTAAAACTTTCTTTTCATTCAGCAGATTGAAAACTTTATTTTTGTAGTATCTACCAAGGGACATTTTCGAGCCCATTGAGGCCAAAAGTGAAAAACTGAATATCCCATGATAAATATAGAAAGAAACTATGAAAATGCTTTGCAATGTGTGGATTTTTCTCACAGCCTTAAACCATTCTTTTCATTCAGCAGGTTGGAACCACTCTTTTTGGAAACCTATGAACTGACATTTGAGAGCCCATTGAGGCCTATAGTGAAAAACTGAATATCCCACAATAAAAATAAGAAAGAGGCTATCTGTGAATATGCTTTGTGATGTGTGGGTTCATCTCACAGAATTAAAATTTTCTTTTAATGTAGCAGGTTGGACACACTCTTTTTGCAGAATCTGCAAAGGGACATTTCAGAGCTCATTGAGGCCTATAATGAAAAACTGAATATCTCAGGGTAAAAACAAGAAACAAGTTATCTGCGAAAATGCTGTGTGATATATGTATTCATCTCACTGAGTTAAACCTTTGTTTTGATTCAACTTTTTGGAAACACTGTTTTTGTAGGTTGTACATAGTAACATTTCAGAGCCCATGAGACCTGTAGGGAAAAACCAAATATCCTGTGATAAAAAGAAGAAACAAGCAATCTGTGAAGATGCTTTGCAATTGTTGGATTAATCTCACTGACTTAAAACTTTGTCTTGGTTCAACTGGTTGGAAACACTCTTTGTAAAATTTACAAAAAGATATTTCACAGTCCATTGAGGCCTGTCGTGAAAAACCCAATATTTTGTAATAAAAACTAGAATCAAGATATCTGCGAAAACACTTCACAATATGTGGATTCATCTCACAGAGTTAAACCTTGCTTTTGATTCAGCTTGTAGGAGAAATTCTTTTTGTAGAACATACAAAGGGATATTTCAGATCCCATTGAGGCCTATTGGGAAAGGCCGAATATTCTGCAATAAAAACTGGAAACAAGCTACCTGTGAAAATGGTTTGTGATGTGTAGGTTCATCACACAGAGTTAAACCTTTGTTTTCATTCAGCCGATTAGAAACACGTTTTTTGTAGAATCTATGAAGGGACATTTCTGAGCCCATTGAGGCCTGTAGTGAAAAAGTGAATATCCTGCATTATTAACTAGAAACAAGGTATGTGTGAAAATGCTTTGCAATGTCTGGATTCATCTCAGGAAGTTCAACCTTTGTTTTGATACAGCCATTGGAAATACTTTTTTTGTAGAATCTATGAAGGGAGATTTTGAAGTCCATTGAATCCTTTAGAGAAAAACGAAATATCTCACGATAAAAACTAGAAACAAGCTGTCTTTGAGAAGGCTTTGTGATGTGTGGATTCATCTCACAGATTTAAACCTTTGTGTTGATTCAACCCTTGGAGAGACACTCTTTGTAAAATCTACAAAGGGACATTTCAGAGCCCATTGTGGCTTATAGTGAAAAACCAAATATCCCACAAGAAAAACTAGAAACAAGCTAACTATGAAAACGCTTTGAGAGATGTGTGATTTCATCTCACAGAGTTAAATCTTTCTTTTGGTTCAATCAGTTGGAAACACTCTTTTTGTAAAATCTATGAAGGGACATTTGCAGTCCATTGAGGCCTGTATTGAAAATTCTAGTATCCTGTGATGAAAACGAGAAACTAGCTATCCATGAAAAAGGTCTGTGATGGGTGGATTTATCTCTCAGAGTTAAACAATTTCTTTATTCAGTCTGGCCCTAGTAGTCCTGTCAGCATGGCCCCTTGAATCCACTTTGAATTTGGTTCACAGCAGAGCAGGTGCCTCACGTCGTGAGGCAGACACTCCTCCAACATCTTGGATTTCATTCCAGGATGGAGAATGTAAGTGGCAGTAAGGTCAGAGAGGGGTGAGGATAAAATCTGGTGAACGGTGGATAAGGTCCTACAACTTCACCTGCAAGACAAGTACAGACAGATGACACAGAAGGTGCTTCTAACTTTATTCCCGCCTTTCTTTAATTGCACGAGCTTTCCACACCATGGCCTGCTGCCGAGGGAAAAAAAAACTCCAATGTATGGGTAATGTTGTGGCACAAACTGTGTCCATTCTGGCTAGTTCTGGCTTTGGGCCTTCATTCCTGGAGCCACATGGGAGCAGTATATATTGATGCTGGGTGAGCTGTGAAATCCACACTGGCCTTTTCTTTTCCTGACTTCCATGTTCCTCATGGGCCTAGGGTTTCCTGGGTCTGGCTCGAAGTCTTCCACAGTAAACATTTCCCAGTTCAGAGAGTACGACCCTCAGGAGGATCCATTGCATGAGTGTTTCCTTCTAAACACTGTCACGTTTTAATGACTGGGCAGCTGTGATACTTTTGGAACCATGGATTCCCATTATATCCAAGAAGGAAACTATTGTTCTTCCTCTTCTATCAGAGGGCTGCATGTTCCCTGTAAGATGAGAAGTAGCCAGCCATGTCTGGCTTTTGCCTGGTAATCTAGGCTCTGTTTTATTTCATCTGCATGTCCTTTCTTATTGTAGAAGGAGTCTTTCATTGAGCTGTTCCTGGGTGGGACTGCTTCTCACCACTGATCTTCTTGTCTGCCAGGGATTTCAGGAAGCAAAAGGGACTTTGGGTAGGCTGGCTGCAGGCTAGGTTGTGGGCAGTGGTCTCGTTGTGGGGCCTGAGGTGGTTTGTACTTTGCAAGAGGCTCTTGTGTCCTCTGGCAGGAATCCCTGAACACGGCTTGGACTCCAGCACAGGCCCTCTCGTGCTCCCAGGCAAGCCTTGATTTTCCTTTGATTTCATGAAGATTCCACAGTTCCCCTCTGCAGTACTCCTGGACACCATTTTCAGGCTTGCAATCGCCCCAGATGGCCTCTGAGACATCTCTGAACCTCATTTGCCACCGTGAGAATCCAGTTCCAGGTGTGAGATCTCTGCTCCACTTTGGACTTGCCTTTGCCTTGCCCAGACAACCATGCTGAGAAGGAGGAGCAGGACTATACTGTTAGATATCGATCATATAAATTTGCTGAGTTACAAATATATCTCTAATGTTTCCAATAACCATGGCAGAAAGGGAGACACTGTACTTTGGATACAGACAGACTGATTACTCTGGAGGCACAAGGACTCAAAGACTTCTTGGATAACATCTTTTTTGCTCCTAACATAACGACATATAGTGAAAAACGTTCCAGTGATAGGTCTAAGATGAATGTGGCCAATTGCCTCAAAATGTTCCTCTGTCAGAGTAAAAGAGTTCAAGACATTGTTTAAACAGTACATTTTCTGATGGTCTCATCTGATCATGGCATAAAATCAGCACATTTAGAGGAATTAATGGCCAGCATGCCAATAATAAACTCACCATAACTATTTCACTTTATTCTGCACAGCAGACAGTTTAAGGTCAAATTTTATGATCAGTGTATCTGAGCTTCTCCGTCACATTTCATAGTATACAGTCTTGGTTCCTCCCTTCTACTTTTGGAATCTGTCCAGGTAAAGATTTCTTGTGACTGAACTGTAGTTGCATTCTTTGACTAACTGCCACAGTACCCTGCTGATTGTTCTCTCCTGGAGTCTTCTTTGTCCACTTCTGACAGCTCTTTCTTGAAGTCCTCCTCAACCTTTGTCCTGTAGTTCCATTCCAAGCTTTCATCCTTTGTCCACTCATCTTCTCATTTTACCTATATACATGTATACTGGAAGAAATTCGGCTGGGTGCAGGGACTCACATCTGTAATCCCAGCACTTTGGGAGGCCGAGGTGGGTGGGTCACGAGGTCAGGAAATCAAAACCAGTCTGGTCAACATGGTGAAGCCCTGTCTCTACTAAAAATACAAAAATTAGCTGGGTGTGGTGTCGCGTGCCTGTAGTCCCAGCTACTCGGGAGCCTGAGGCAGGAGGATTGCTTGAACCAGGAAGGCGGAGGTTGCAGTGAGCTGAGACCACCACTGCACTCCATCCTGGTGACAGAGCGAGACTTTGGGGAAAAAAAGGGAAAGAAAAAAAAAGAAAAATAATAATAAACAAATCCAGTGTCCATGAATTCTCAAACTGCCACCTTGATTCCAAGGTACTCCCTCTCTCTGAGATGGAGTTGATTCCCTCAGAACCCAATGGTGGTATAGGGGTGGTGGGTTCCTCTGCTGGGGTCCTTACTGCCTCTCTCCTGAGCTTTAAGGATGGCTTCTGAGGGCTTTGGTGCTGTCCCAGAGGTTCCCAGCATTAACTCTGTTGCGTCTGTGATCCCAGCTGGGCAGTACTCCAGGGCCCCTGTGCTCACAGCAGCTCCCTTGGGCTCCGCTCCTGGCTGCTGTTGTCCCATGCAACGTTCAAGCCTACTTTGGAGCTGTTTCCTGGTGGGTGTGATTCTTGTTGTCTTCTCTTGAAGTGCAGACACTCCCAAAGTGGGCTTCAGAAGTGGGATGGGGAGCCGTCTTTATCTAGTTCTGGGGATGACAGGTCATGGGTGAGCAGGAGGGTGGCAGAGAATGGCAGGGATGTAGGGCAACTCTGAATATGCTCCGCAGCCTGGGATCAAGGTTCGGCCCAAGCAGCATGGGTGAACTGAATCTTTCTGGGTTGTCTTGCTCCGGGCTGCATGGCCGCCCTGGCACATGCTGCTGTGAAAGGGAATGAGACGACACCAGGACCAGGGCCTGGGCGGGGGCTAGCACACTACTTCCTTGCTCCACACAACTCCAGGAACAGTGCTCCCACATCACCACTTGGGGCCTCCCTGCCCTCCTTATTTCTCAATGACTGAGCTTTGTGTTCCAACACAAGCCCATTTGTTCAAGAAGTGTTTCTTTTAATGGTCTACACAATTGTGATAATATTTTTTTCCTAAGCTTGTCCATACTCTTATTAAGATGCTCACTTTTGTCACCGTTTATTTGTAATAATTTTTCATTTTTGCCTTGTTTTTTTAAAGATAATTTTATCACAGATACATATTCAATTAGTCTTTCAAGGAACAAACTTTTGTTTCATTGATTTTAGTATGTTGAAATTTCATTAACTTACATTTTTAGTTTTGTTCCTTCTTTCAACTATCATTGGTGGTTGTTTTCCAACTTTTTCTTGCTGAAGATGAGTTCATTTTAAAACTTTATAGTGTATGTGTTTAAGGATATCTATTTTTCTCTAAGGACCACTTTAGCTGTCAAATCCATGTATTAATATGTAGGGCTTTTTGTTTGATTTTACAAATTTCAGTTTTCTTTTTGATAAGTATTTCATTGACAAATTAAATTATATTTTTGAAAAATTCTCCCTGGGGCCTGTAAAACTTGTGGGGATGAATAATTCCTCCCTCATCAGGCCCAGTCCCAAGGTGCAAGGCCACCTGCACCAGCAGTGTGCATCAGCAAGATAGCAGAAGCAGGAACAGGGCTGGCTGGAAGACAAGTTCCCCCTGGGGATCAAGAGAGAGAGGCTGTCTGGGTACCATGTAGCAGTTATGTCAGACTGGGACACTTCCTGTTTACAGAAGACTATAAAACCCCTGATCTATAATCACTTTGGGCTGACACCATTTTAGGCAGTCTTTCTACACCCAGGCACTCATTAAACAGCGTGTTTCTCCACACTGCCTTGTGTTGTTTATTGGCATGCTCTCAAGGTTTGAACCGATACAAGAGCCTTACAATCCAGACGATGCTTCTGCTACAACGACATGACGGATACTAACCCATCTCTCAAGAATACTCCCAAAATTAAATTTTTCTTTTTTCCAAGGTGCCCATGACACCCCCGATGTCAAGCCTGAAGTAGTTGTTGAGAAAGTCGTCCCTTTTCCTTTTTCTATAACCAAATATATAGGAATGAAAGATTCTCCCTGGGGCCTGAAAGCTTGGGGTCATGAATAACTCCTCCCTCCTCAGGCTCAGTCCTAAGGTGCAAGGCCACTTGCACCAGCAGCGTGTGTCTACAAGATAGCAGAAGCAGGAAGAGAGCTTGCCAGAAGACACGTACCCCCTGGAGATAGAGAGAGGCTGTCCGGGTACCATGTAGCAGTTATGTCAGACTAGTACATTTCCTGTTTACAGGAGACTATAAAACCTCTTCCCCATCCTCACTTGGGGCTGATACCATTTTAGGCCTCAGCCCATCTGCACCCTGGTGCTAATTAAAACAGCCTGTTGCTCCACACTGCCTTGTGTTGTTTGTTGGCACATCCTCGGGGTTCAAACAAATACAAGAGCCTTGCACCTGGTGCCAAAACCCAGGAGGGGCTCCAGTCTGCATCCCCTGTAGACCTACCTTTCCACCCCAGAAAGCAGGCCACAGCAGCCAGACAAAAGAAGCTCCTCAGCCTCCAGTCACCTCTCTGTTCATGCACATTGGTCACTGATCTCACCTACTGGTATGTTTCCTGGGAGCCCAGGTTAACAGAGTAAAATCCGCATGGCCTTCCTTGATTTCACCAGTCCAAAAATCCAACGTTCGTCCAAGAAGGCTTCGGCATGTTCCAGGCACTCGCTGATCATCTGGTCTTAGGGGGATGCCTCTAAGCCATTTGATCCCATTCTGGGAATGAAAAAAGCAGCGGTGATGATCACTTCTTTTATCGTCTCTCTCAGGCTGTCCAGGATGATCTCCTTTTCCCTGTTCTCCCAAGCCTACCCTCTGTCATGGGAAATCCCCAGTCTTCCATTCCAAAGGACAGCCCTCTAGGCTGCCTCATAAAAACCTGCAAACCTTAGGCCTCAGGCAAGATATCCGCCCTAAGTTCCTTGTCTTTTTTTTTTTTTTAATTCAATCTGGCCACAGTACAAATTGAATAATGGGTACAAAGTGCCTGCAAATGGAACATTCAACTTTACAATTTTAACTGACTTAAGAAATTATTGCTGACGACTGGAAAAATGGGGAGAAATTCCTTATGTCCAGGTCTTTTTCACACTCAGGTCACAACCCAGCTTCTGCAATTCTTGCTCACCTGTTAAAATTCTCCTCCCCCATTCCCACCACCCTAGTCCCCTTTCTCCTCCCACCTTACGTCTTTTTCCTCGTTCAATCCAGCAGACTGCTGTCCACCCCTCCCAACCTCTACCTCTCCCTCTCAACTGTCTTCTTTAACCCCCGCAAGCCTCCTCTTTGTCTTCCTAGCAGCCATGTTCCCAGTCACCATCTTCTCAGCCACCACTTTCTCAGTCACCATCTTCCCAGCCAGCAGTGCCTCCAAAAGTACCCACTTCTTTTCCTACACCATCCTCTCCTCAGCACAATTCTAGCGCTGCCTGTACCCATTCTCCTCCCCCATCACCCTTTCCTTAGGCCGATAATCCCACCCTGCCACTTTACACCCCCATCTATCCTCCACTGCCTATTAACTCAACCCCCTTTTTCCCTTTAAACCCTTAACAGGAACCATTTCCAGGTTGTTCCTTCTCTCCCACCCATACTTACTCAGGCACCATTTTTGGCCCATGCTCCACCCTTACTTCAAAGCCTGCGCTAGAGTGCCCTCTTCAGGAAGCAGCAGGAACTGAAGGTATTGTTAGCTTTCATGTTTCCTACTCCCTCACTGATCTCTCTCAAATTAACAAAAGACCAGAAGACCCTACCTCTTATATTAGAGAGTTTCAGTACCTCACCCAGTCTTATGAAGTAACTTGGCATGACCTCTACATTATCCTCTCTTTCACCCTCACCCTAGCAGACTGGGACAGTATCTGGACCCTAGCTCAGTTGCATGCTGATACAATTTATCACCAGGCTCCTACCCAGCCTACTGGCACAGAGGCAGTCCCCAACAAGCACCCCCACTGGGATTATCAAGACAGGGACTCTGGACACTGCCATCAAGACTACATGATTGTGTATCTCCTTGCAGGACTCAAAACGGGTGCCCACAAAGTGGTAAACTATGAAAAACTTTCAGAAATCACCCAAGATCCTGACGAAAACCAAGCTCCTTTTCTCTCTTGTTTAATTGAAGCCATGGGAAAATATACCAACCTGGACCCAGCCAGCCCAGAAGAAACCACTACCTTAAACCTTTGGTCCATCTCCCAATCCACCCCTGATGTCCAATGCAAGCTTCAGAAGCTTGACGAAGGACCTCAAACTCCACAATGAGACCTTCTTAATTTAGCCTTTAACAATCGTGATGAGGAATGTAAAAGGCCAAAACAGGGAGAATTTCAAATGCTTGCCTCTGCTATCATGGGCCCCGCAGGACCACGGGGTCACAGCTCCATACAGAAGCCTCCTAGTAATCCACCTCCATCTGGCGCCTGTTTCAATTGCAGCAATGAAGGCCACTGGTCCCCACAATACCCAAACCCAGGTAAGCCCATCAGGTCATGCCCCCTCTGCAGAGGACCCCACTGGAAGTCAGAGGGTGAATGCCCTATGCAAGGACTGCCCTCATCCCTTCCTGAGTCAGCCAAAACCTCCTACTCGGATCTCATCGGCCTTGCTGCTGAAGACTGATGGTGCCCTGGAACAGACACCCCAGCAACTACCATCTCTTCATTCGAGCCAAGGATAATCCTGATGGTTGCAGGTAGGCCAGCAGGTTTTTAAATTCATACCGCGGCAACCTACTCTGTTTTACCTAATTTTTCAGGACGCACCCAGTCCTCCCAAGTCTCTGTTGTGGGAATTGATGGACAAGTCTCCAAGCCCTGAGCCTCCCCTCCATCTTCTGCTCCCTTCACATCGTTTCCTCCACTCACTTTTTCTTAGTCCTGCCGTCATGCCCAACTCAGCTCCCAGGCAGAGACACCCTTTCAAAACTCCACACTACTCTCCACTTCCATGTTGACCATGGTACCTAACACATCCACCTAGACACCTCTGGTGCTTCTAGCTTTCTTCTACTCCTCCAACCTCCCACCCTAAAACATGCAACATTTCCTTATCCCCTATTTGTAGTTAACTCCACTGTTTGGGATACTTCCACACCCTCAGTCACAAAACACCACACCCCCTTCCGCATTATCCTTAAAAACCCAACCCAGTTCCTATCACAGAAGCAGTATCAAATTCCCCAAGCAGCTCTTGTAGGACTAAAGCCTATCATTTCTCGCCTCCTCACCAGTCACCTACTCTGCCCAACAAACTCCCCTTTTAACACACAAATTCTACCTCTTAAAAAGCCAGATGAAACTTATTTCTTAGTCCAGGACCTCAGGCTCATTAACCAAGCTGTACACCCAGTATGTCCAGTAGTTCCTAACCCACACACTTTAATTTCCTCAATTCCCTCCAATACCACCCATTTTTCTGTCCTAGACCTAAAGGATGCTTTTTTCACAATTCTTTTGCATCCTGATTCTCAAGACCTCTTTGCCTTTATGCGAGAAGACTCTGACACCCACCTTTCACATCAGCTCACCTGGTGCATACTAACTGAAGGTTTTAGAAGCAGCCCCCACCTTTTTGGACAGTCCCTTGCTCGTGACCTCTGTACCTCATTCCTAAAACCGCCCATTCTCCTTTAATATGTTGATGATTTGCTCCTGCGTAGCCCTTCTCAAAAAGACTGCAACACCCGTACTATCTCTCTTTTAAACTTCCTGGCAGAGCAGGGTTACCACGTCTCCCCTAAAAAAACAAAAATATGCACCCCCTCAGTCACCGACCTAGGCCTAGTTCCTACCCCATAATCCCAAGGGCTCACAATTGACCACATTTCCCTCCTCCAGTCCCTCCTGCCTCCGCTAACTAAGCAAGGAATTCTCTCTTTTCTAAGACTAGTGGGATATTTTAGGCTCTGTGTTTCCTCCTTTGCTGTATTGCCAAACCATTATACCACCTGCTAAAGGCTCTCTCCATGAGCCTTTAAACCCTGCACAGCCTATTACTCAACCTTTCCATCTACTCCAAAAGGCTCTCATCTCAGCCCCCAACCTCACTCTCCCAGACCTCACCAAACCCCAAACCTTTCTCTCTATATATTGATGAATGGCGTGAAGTTACACTAGGTGTTCTAGCTCAGTCCAAGGGACCTCCCCTCCAGGTTATCATCTACATCTCCAAACAGCTTGAAAACACAGTTCAAGGATGGCCTGCCTGATTCCAAGCTTTGGTGGCAGCTGCTGTCCTCACCCTTGAAAGCCTAAAACTATCTCTTCATGCCAACCTAACAGTTTATTCAACCCATAACATCAAAGACATGTAAGCTCACTGCAGTGTACTTAGTCTCATCTCTGCCTCACAGCTCCTCCAACTGTATGCTTTATTCACAGAAACTCCCCAAATCACCCTGCTAACCAGCTCCCATTTAAACCTGGCCACACTCTTACTTGAAGCTACTAGCTCCCAAGACCCTGCACACTTCTGTGTAGACACTGTTCAAACCTTTCTTATACCTTTTCCAAACCTGACAGACCAGCACCCTCCAGATGCCTCTTTTACTTGGTTTTGAGATGGCAGTTCCTTCCTACATCAAGGAGGCCAACATGCTAGCTACGATATAGTGTCACTCCACACACTATTGAAGCCAATCTGCTCCCCCTAGCATCCACATCCCAAAAAGCTGAACTCATCCCCCTCACTCTAGCAGCCAGCCAACGAATTAACATATATTCAGATTCTCATTATGCATTCCACATAGTGCACTCACATTCATCCATCTGGAAAGAATGGGGTTTCCTAACTGCAAAAAAAAAAAAAAAAAACACAAAAAAATACTTGTCGTAAATGGCTCTCTCATCAGCAAACTCCTTCAAGCTGCCAGACTCCCACAGAAAGTAGCCATCATTCATTGCAGGGGCCACCAAACTCCAGACAATCCTATATCAGCCGGAAATGCTCTAGCAGACAAGGTAGCCCTACAACCTGTGCACGGCCAGTTTCTGTCCCTGTCCTCATTCTCTCCTCTTTATTCCTCAGAAGAAAAGGACTTCCAAGCCCAAAACCTTCAAAAGCAAGGACCATGGGTATGTCAAGAAACGGCATTTCATTCTTCCTCACTCTCAAACAATCTCTATCCTCCAAAGCCTCCACAACTCTTTCCATGTTGGTTACAAACCTCTCTTGCAACTTCTCCACCATATTCTCATTTGTTCTCACCTTTCCAGCCGTGTTCAAGAAATTACCCAGTCCTGCTCTATCTGCCATCCAGCATCACCCCAGGGTTCCCTCCAGCTGCTGCATTTTCCTACCCACAAAGCCTGGGTCCATGTACACAGGCAAGATTGGCAAGTAGACTTCATTCACATGCCACCCGATAAATGGCTCTGCTATCTTCTAATCTTTGTCTGTACTTTCTCTGGGTGAGTAGAAGCATTCACAACAACTTCAGAAAGTGCAAATGTCAGACAAATTCCCGTCATGCATATAATTACCCATTTTGGATTCCCAACATCCATCCAGTCCAATAACGGGCCCTCCTTTAGCAGCCAAATTACCCAAGACTTCTCTACATCCTTGGGAATAAAATGGGTTCTCCACACACCCTACAGGCTTCAATCTTCAGGTAATGTTGAAAAAGTCAACTCTGTCTTTAAAGCCAAACTCACCAAGCTGGCTCTAGAAACCCACCAATCATGGACAGGAAATCTTCCTTTCACCCTTATGAGACTCTGTGCAACACAAAATGCACCCTCTATTTATAGTCCCTTTGAAATCATGTATGGCCAAACTTTTGTCTTAGGGCCTCCACCCTTACCAAACTCTGAACCAGTCAGTAATTACCTCCCTGTCTTAATCCAGACATGGTCTTTCATTCATGAAGCAGCAAATGAGGCCATGCCTCTCCCTATAGTCATCTCTTTGTCCTCTATACATAACTGTCTTGCAGGCACAGACATGTTTATCTGCCAACCCGACCCTCATGAAAAGCTACAACCAAAGTGGGCAGGCCCCTACACTTTGATACTCTGCATGCCCAATGCAGTGAGAGTCCAAGGACTCCCCCACTGGATCCATCACACCAGGGTCAATCTCACCCCCAAGGCTACTTCTTCCTCCAAAACATTAATAGCTGAGTTGTCATCTAGGCCAATTTCTCCTACCAAGCTTAAATTAACAAAAAATTTTTTTTCTTAGAACCAAAACACAAGGCAGACTAATCACCTGCTTTCAGAAATGGCCTGTATCTGCCCAACCGTTTGCTGTACCTGACTTCCAACCAAAAGTCTTAGTACAGGAATATCCCTCACCACAATCCTAATATTGTCAGTAGCTGCCCTGTGGTCCACAGCAGCTCCTCTGAGTTGCCGTGAGTGTTATCAGTCTTTTCACTATTGAGGAAAAATGCAACAATCATTTACTTACCATACTCAAATAGAAAAATTCTGTTATGAAATCTTAATTGAGGAATGTGTTGAATCATGGAAAAGTTATTATAAAGTAAAAAATCTAGGAGTATCTAGCAGTCATAAAGGGGCTATATGTCCAAAAGGTAAGAGGTGGCTTTCCCTCCACAAAATTGGATGACGGAGAGTAAACACTCAAGTGCTAAAGGACATAAAGAGAAAACAGATTATAGCCAAAGCAAAAGCCAAAACAAACAACTACCACCCCCCTGTGCCCAAATCACCTGTGGTATTTCCATCCCTTTATACAAAATTACAAGCAGACATATCCCTTCCTAAACCCAGAAAAAACCTGTTTGCAGATCTAGGAGAACACATCACATTTACCATGAATGTGTCCAATTGCTGGATATGTGGGGATCTCGTATGAATCAACAGTGGCCGTGGTATGGGATAGACATTCCCTCTTACCAGCATCCCAAAACCCCAGCGTCATTCTCACTACTCAGGAATGCCCACAGTCCTGGATACTTATCAACCCAGTAAGAGGGATGGTGTGCATATACCACAAGTGAACTGATGAAACCCATCACACCATAGGTGAAAGCCCCTGTCACCAAACCCTAGCAGTCAATGCCTCCACAGTAGACTGGGGGCCAAGGTTACCCCACAGAGTGTGGTCTCCTTCTAACTTAAGCTACCTCAATTGTGACTTGTCAGAAAAGGCCTGGTACTGTACAAACACCACTAACCCTTAAGCCACATACCCACATTTAAGTGCACTATGGGACAATCCTATGAAAACCAGACTACAATAGATTGTCCTGAAGTATTCTTTTGGATATGTGGAACCCAGGCTTACTCTTGGTTACCTTATCACTGGCAAGGTACTTGCTTCCTAGGTACAATTAAAACTGGATTCTTTTTACTTCCAATGCAGGTGGGCAACACTCTTGGAATCCCTGTATATGATAACCTAAACAGGGAAAAAAGGTCCTTAAAGGTAGGAGGAAGGCAAAGATGGCAAGAGGATGAGTGGCCTCTGCAATGGATCATCGAATATTACAGCCCTGCCACTTGGGCTGAGGATGGTTCATGGGGTTATGGCACTCCCAGATATATGCAAATAGAATAATTTTGAGAATAGGCTGTACTATAGACAATCACTAACCAAACCACTTCAGCCCTGGAAATGCTCTTGCAACAACAAAACCAAATGCATGCAACAATTTATCAAAATGGGCCAGCACTAGACTACTTATTAGCAGAAGAGAGTGGGGTCCCAAGATTGATTTTCCTTTCAGTTTCTTCTTTGTAAGGTTTCCTTGTCAAGATTATAATGAATTAATAACGTGAGTTTGTATGTTCTTTTGCTTTTCATTACAATTTTTAAAGTTTTTTATGTAGAGTTTTCAATCCGAGAGTTTAATATTTGTGATATTTCTTATTCACTTATGAGGTCATCTGTGCTTGAAATTTTCTTCAGAGGAAGACTTTAAATTATAGCTTCAGTTTTATTAATAGATATGAGACATTAGATTTATGTTTTTAAAACTAAGTCTTGGAAAGTTGTATTTTTCTAGGAATGTGACCTTTTCTTCTAAGTTTTCAATCTTATTGGCATAGTTGTTAATACTATCTTCACTATATTTTCATTGATGGCAGGACCTATATGAATGTTTATTTTTCATGTCTGATATCAATAAGTGGGCCTTTTTTTCCTTTCCCTATATTGATCAGACTTGTCTGAGCATTGTCAGGTCTACCATATTTTTCAAGGAACAGATTTGTCTTTGTCTTTTTTATCTCCAATATGTTGTAATACCCAACCTTGTTTTAATATGAATAGGCTCTCCCTTAGCTGAGAACAGTGTAGGGACTCCATTTGGCTTCTTCATTTACAAGACATCAAGTGCTCCTTACCCACCCCCTTCCTCAAGGACTTAACTTCTGCAAGCTGACTCTCAACATATCAAAGAGTGCAAGTAACTGATAAGGTACTGAAGAAAGCAATGTCTGCAGTTCCCAGGATTCACTCAGGAGATAGTACCATAAAGCCCCTGCATTTGTGTCTAGCAGATAACACCCAGAGCCCCCACACCTATCACCTTGTGATGAATTTAAAGCCCCTGCACTTGGAACTGTTTGTTTTCCTGTAACCATTTGTCTTTTTTACTTTTTTGTCGGTTTTACTTCTGTAAGATTGCTACAGCTAGAATCCCCCTCCCCTCTCTAAACTAAAGTATAAAAGAAAATCTAGCCCCTTCTTCAGGGCGGAGAGAATTTTGTGCCTTAGCCATCTCTCTGTCGCTGGCAAATAAAGGACTCCTGAATTTGTCTCAAAGTATGGCATTTTCTCTCTAACTCACTCAGTTACAACATTTGGAGGCCCCAGGGAGATCATTTCACTACTGGATGAGGGCCAGGCTCACTCTGGGCTCCCCTGGATGGGTGGCTGGCTTAGATAGGGAGGTGTCACCTGAAGAAGTTCCAGGTCCCCACAGGCGACCATCTTCCAGAGGAGAATGGATTGACTACCGGTGTGTGCCCACAAAAGTCAACGTCTGAGTCCTCAGCTTCTGGTCCCAGGAAGGTAAGTCAGATCTGAGTTTGGTTTGGTGAGAGGGAAGCGGCCCTCACAAAGGCATCTCTCTCTTTGACACTGCCTGCATTCCAGGAAGCTGGACAAGGGAGCCTTGGTTTTCTGTTAGGTGCCTTTGGTTCTGGTTTGGTGAGAAGGAACTGTCCCTGATGAGGGCGTCTCTCTCTGACTCTGTCCGTATTCC
The DNA here is from genome assembly GCF_000001405.40 of Homo sapiens. Classification (NCBI taxonomy): domain Eukaryota; kingdom Metazoa; phylum Chordata; class Mammalia; order Primates; family Hominidae; genus Homo; species Homo sapiens. The sequence goes on along the minus strand of NC_000016.10, from coordinate 35,901,610 downwards.
AGGACACTGGAGAACATAGTCTTGGTTTCTATGAGGCCAGCCTCTCCATTAAGACTAGTCTCTCACTCTCTCACCCTCTCTTTCTCTCTGTCTCTCTAAACTAAACTGGTGAATAAAGGACTCCTGAATTTGTCTCAAAGTGTGGTGTTTTCTCTCTAACTCGCTCAGCTACAACATTTGGAGGCTCCAGGGAGATTATTTCACTACTGGGTGAGGGCCAGACTCACTCTGGGCTCCCCTGGAAGGAAGGCTGGTTTATAGGGGAGTAGTTTACAGCTCCTCATGCCATAGAGACTTTGCTGCAAGGTGCTTCTGGCAAATGGATGTCAAACACTCGCATTTTACATTATCAGACTTTACTATTAGATCAGCCTCATTTAACTTTCTCTCCCACAAGGTGTTTAAATCCAGCAACTTTACTCCCAGATCCAGAATTCACCACACCTATCCATGACTGCCAGGAACTGTTAGAGACAACAGAAACTGGCTGACCTGATCTCCAAGATGTGCCTTTAAAGGAGGTGGATGCCACCATGTTTACAGACGGTAGCAGCTTCCTTGAGCAGGGAGTTCAAAAGACTGGTGCGGCCATCACTATGGAGACTGATATTCTGTGGGCCCAAGCTCTACCAGTGGTCACTTCAGCTCAGAGAGCTGAGTTGGTTGCCTTCACACAGGCTCTCCGATGGGGCAAGGACAAACATATTAACATTTACACTGACAGTAGGTATGCTTTTGCTACTGTGCATGTGCACAGAGCCATCTATCAAGAGCATGGGCTACTTACCTTAGCAGGAAAGACTATCAAAAACAAAGAAGAAATTCTAGCCCTGCTTGAAGCCACAGGGATTCCTCAGCAGGTGGCTGTAATTCACTGCAAAGGACATCAAAGGGAAGACATGGCCATTGCCCGTGGTAATCAGAGGGCAGATTCTGCAGCCCAGGAGGCAGCACGGCTTCCAGTCGCACCTCTAATCTTACTGCCTGCAGTGTCTTTTCCACAGTCTAACCTACAAGATCATCCAATATACTCAGCAGAGGAAGTAAAACTGGTTTCGGATCCCCAGGCCAGTAAAAATCAGGAAAGTTGGTGGATTCTTCCTGACTCAAGAATCTTCATACCCCAAACTCTTGGAGAAATTTTAATTGGTCGCCTGCATTCTACCACCCATTTGGGAGGAGTAAAACTGACCCAGCTCCTAAGAAGCTGTTTCAAGATCCCCCACCTTCAGAACTTAGCGAACCAAGCATCTCTCCAGTGCAAGGCTTGTGCTCAGGTAAACGCCAAGCAAGGTCCTAAACCGAGCTCAAGCAACCGCCTCTGGGGAGACTTGCCAGGAGAAAGGTGAGAAATTGACTTTACAGAAATAAAACCACACCGGGCTAGGTACAAATACCTTCTGGTACTAGTAGACAGTTTTTCTGGATGCACGGAGGCATTTGCCACCAAAAACGAGACTGCCATCATGGTAGTTAGGTTTTTATTCAGTGAAATCATCCCTCCACATGGGCTGCCTGCTGCCATAGGGTCTGATAATGGACCGGCCTTCACCTCATCCATAGCTCAATCAGTCAATAAGGCATTAAACATTCAACGGAAGTTCCATTGTGCCTATCGACCCCAGAGCTCTGGGCAGGTAGAATTCATGAAATGCAACCTAAAAAGTACTCTTGCAAAATTGATCTTAGAGACCAGTGAGAATTGGGTAAGACTCCTTCCTTTAGCCCTTCTTAGAGTAAGATGCACTCCTTACTGGGCTGGGTTTTCACCTTTTGAAATCATGTATGGGAGGGCTCTGCCTATCTTGCCTAAGCTAAGGGATACCCATTTAGCAGAAATATCACAAGCGAATTTATTACAGTACCTATGGTCTCTCCAACAGGTAAGAGATATCATCCAGCCACTTGTCCGGGGAGCTCATCCCAATCCAATTCCTGACCAGACAGGGCCCTGCCACTCATTCCAGCCAGGTGACCTGGTGTTTATTAAAAAGTTCGAGAAAGAAGGACTCACTCCTTCTTGGGAAGGACCTCACACTCACCACACCAACAGCTCTGAAGGTGGATGGCATTCCTGCTTGGATTAATCACTCTTGCATCAAAAAGGCCAACAAAGCCCAGCAGGAAACATGGGTCCGCAAGCATGGGCCAGGACCCTTAAAACTGTGCCCAAGTTGAGTGAAGCCATTAGATTAATTCTTTTTATTTACCTCTCTTGTTTGTTTCCACCTGCTATGCCCTCCATGCCTTCCTATTCCTTTCTCCTCACTTCTTTCATGACAGGACATGTATCAGCAAACACTACTTGGAAGGCAGGAACCTCCAAGAAAGTCTCTTTTGCAGTCGATTTATGTGTTTTGTTCCCAGAACCTGCCTGTACCCACGAAGAACAAAGCAATCTGCCTGTCATGGGAGCAGGGAATGTCAACCTTGCTGCAGGATTTGGACACTCCAGGAGCCAGACTGGATGTGGGAGCTCCAAAGGTGCAGAGAAGGGACTTCAAAATGTTGACTTTTACCTCTGTCCTGCATCACCCTGACTCTAGTTGTCGAGATACTTACCAGTTTTTTTCTGCCCTGACTGGACATGTGTAACTTTAGCCACTTACTCTGGGGGATCAACCCGATCTTCAACTCTTTCCATAGCTCGTGCTTCCTGTCCTAGACTGTGTACTTGAAAAAATTGTAATCCTCTTACTATAACCATCCATAACCCTAATTTAGCTCAATGGTATTATGGTATGTCATGAGGATTAAGGCTTTATATCCCAGGATTTAATGTTGGAACTATGTTCACCGTCCAGAAGAAAATCCTGGTCTCATGGAGCCGTCCTAAGCCAATTAGGCCTTTAACTGATCTAGGCGACCCTATGTTCCAAAAACACCCAGACAAGGTCGATTTAACTGTTCCACCACCATTTCTGGTTCCTAAACCCCAGCTGCAATGACAACACCTCCAACCCAGCCTGATGTCCTTTCTAGGTGGGGTACATCACCTCCTTAATCTCACCCAGCCTAAACTAGTCCAAGATTGTTGGCTATGCCTAAAGGCCAAACCCCCTTATTATGTGGGATTAGGAGTAGAAGAAATGCTTAAAGGTGGCCCTCTTTCTTGTCATGCATGACCCCATGCCCTCACACTAGGAGACATGTCTGGGAATGCTTCTTGTCAAATTAGCACTGGATATAACTTATCTGCTTCTCCTTTTCAGGATACTGATAATCAGTCCCTGCTTACTTCCTTAAGCACCTCGGTCTCCTACCAGGCACTTAACAATATCTGTTTAGCCTGTACTTCAGGTCTCACTCACTGCATCAGTGGGACTGAACCAGGACCTCTCTTGTGTGTGTTAGTTCATGTGCTTCCCCAGGTATACATGTACAGTGGGCCAGAAGGACAACTTCTCATCGCTCCCTCTGAATTGCATCCCAGGTTTCACCGAGCCACCCCACTCCTAGTACCCCTCTTGGCTGACCTTAGCAGCCATCCGCACAGCTGCCCTGGTTCAGGAATAAACTGGACTAATGTCCCTGTCTCAACAGGTAGGTGCTGATTTAAGCAACCTGCAGTCAGCCATAGATATACTGCATACCCAGGTAGAGTCTGACTGAAGTAGTTCTTCAAACCACCAAGGGCTTAGATCTGCTATTCCTCTCCCAAGGAGGTTTATGCACAGCTCTAGGAGAAAGTTGTTGCTTCTATGCCAATCAATCTGGGGTCATAAAGGATACTCTCCAAAAGGTTCCAGAAAATCTAGGTAGATGCCAACAAGAATGAGAAAATAATGTCTCCTGGTATCAAAGCATGTTTAACTGGAATCCATGGCTAACCACTCTAGTCACTGGGTTAGCTGGACACCTTTTCCCCCTGCTGTTAGGCTTAATCTTTGGGCAGTGTATATTCAACTGGTTTCTTAACTTTGTAAAGCAACGCATAGCTTCTGTCAAACTTATGTATCTTAAACCCCAATATGACCCCCTTGTTATAACTGAGGAATCAATGATTTGATTCCCCAAAATCACAAGTGGGGAATGTAATACCCAACCTTGTTTTAATATGAATAGACTCTCCCTTAGCTGAGAAAACTGGAGGGACTCCATTTGGCTCCTTCATTTACAAGGCATCAAAGGCTCCTTACCCACCCCCTTCCTCAAGGACTTAACTTCTGCAAGTTGACTCTCAACATATCAAAGAGTGCAATTAACTGATAAGGTACTGAAGTAGGCAATGTCCACAGTTCCCAGGAATTCACTCAGGAGATAGTACCATAAAGCCCGTGTTTGTGTCTGGCAGATAACACCCAGAGCCCCAATACCTGTCACCTTGTGATGAATTTAAAGCCCCTGCACCTGGAACCTTTTATTTTCCTGTAATTTTTTAACTGTTAACTTTTAATTTTTAACTTTTTTGTCTGTTTTACTTCTGTAAGATTGCTACAGCTAGAATCCCTTTCCCCTCTCTAAACCAAAGTATAAAAGAAAATCTAGCCCTTTCTTCAGGGCTGAGAGAATTTTGTGTGTTAGCCATCTCTCGGTCACTGGCTAACAAAGGACTCCTGAATTTGTCTCAAAGTGTGGCGTTTTCTCTCTAACTCACTCAGTTACAACGTTTTTATAAAAATGTTAATTCATTGATGTCATGGTTGTAATATGTCCTTTCATGTACTAACTCTGGGTGTTATTTGCTCTTTTATTCTACAAAAGAAGATACTTAATATTGTTTTCCTTTCTTTCACAGTCCTTATCTAATACATGCTGTTAAGGGTTCATTTCTTTCTAAGCATGAATTTAGCCGTATCTCACAAGTTTTGATATGTTGTATTTTTGACAATTTATTTAAAAATAGTCTCCAACTTCCACTTAGAAATGTATCTCTTAATTTCTACACATTGAGGTATTTTTCTAGTTAAACTTTTCTTTGTTTCTGGTTGCTATCTTAATTCCACTGTGCAAAAAGAATGCATTTTATAAGAATTCAAACCTTTGAAATTTATTGAAATCTTTGTGGCCCATACTGTAGTCAATTTTGGTAAAAATGATCTGTGTGTATTTGAAAAGTATGTATATTTTGAGAGGGTTGCATTTTTAGGATGCATTTTTGCTTTTGAAGGTAATGTGTCATTTACCTCTGACTGCTCTTAATGTTTCTCACTTGTCTTCGGTCTTTCTTATAGTTTTCAGTTTTCTTTTGCAATTTTTCATTTTGGCATCTTTTTATCTTCATCATTTTAATCAACAGTTCTGTTAAAGTCTGTGTCATGTAATTCCAATATCTGGGCCTCTCAAGTGTCTAACTCAAACTTTCGTTTTTAGAAAAAAAAAATTATGTCATTCATTCTGCAGATATTTGGTGAATACCTAGTGTGGACTTTTTAAAGTGTTTGGAGCACATACTGTGAAAAAAACGTTCTACCTTTCCGCAGCCTATATTCTGGTTACTAAATTACTCTCTTAATAGACTATAATGGATTGGATTTATCAGCATTTTGTTTAGAATATTTGCATCAAAATTAAATATGAACTGTTCTTGACTAATATTTGCTTTAATATTGTCTATTACACTTAACAAATCTTTTTTCTGGTATGTATCTTAGTCCATTTTGTATTGCTGTAAAGGAATACCTGAAACTGGATAACATAACAAAAAATGGTTTATTTGGCTTGCAATGCTGATGTCTGGAAAAGTGAAGGATTGGGCATCTGGTGAGGGCCTCCAGCTGCTTCCACTCAGGGCAGAAGGCAAAAGAGAGCTCACTGTGCAGAGATCACATGGCAGGAGAGGATGCAAGAGAGATGAGAGGTGTCAGGCTCTGTTTAACAATGAGCTCTCTCAGGAACTAAAAGAGTGAGAAGTCAGCCAAGTGCAGTAGCTCATGCCTGTAATCCTAATACTACCACTTTGGGAGACCAAGGCTTGCAGAGTTTTTGAGCTCAGGAGTTTGAGACCAACCTAGGCAATATGAAGAAACCTCATCTGTACCAAAATACCGAAGAATTAGCTAGGCATGGTGGCACATGCCTGTAGTCCCAGCTACTTGGGGAACTGAGGCAGTAGGATTGCTTAAACCTGGGAGGTCAAGCCTGCAGTGACCTGAGATCATGCCACTACACTCCAGTGTGGGTGACAAAGTAAGACTCTGTCTGAAAAAAAAAAAAAAAACAGTGAAAAGTCACTCACTCACTACCACAGGGAGGTGATTAATCTGTTAATGAGGGTTTCCTTTCCATGATGCAAACACCTCCCATGAGGCCCCATCTCCAACATTGGGGATAAAATGTAAACGCAAAGTTTGGAAGACAAACATCCATGCAATACAACATGGAATATTTAAATGACATGAATTGTCATTTTTCTTAATTGTGGCTATACTTTAATTCTAAAAAATATGGGCATGGTGATTTTTCTATGGTGTATCTTCAAAATATTCAATAGATTATTAAATCATATTTCTGGTTATTGGTCTTTAGACAAATGTTCTATTGTTTTCTAAATCAATTTTGGTAGTTTCTTGAAGTTTCTTTAAAAAATCATCTATTTTCTCTGGGCTTTTATATAATAGTATTTCTTACATTCCTACTGTTCCCAGACTGAACCAGATCTGGCTGCATGCTCTTGTGGTCCAATAATGAGATTCAGACAAACAAAAAAAAAAAAAAAAAAAAGAAAAAGCAAGTTTATTTTGTAACTGAGTACAAGGAGAAGGCCAGAGATAATTCACCAGACATACTTAGGATTCTAAATTGTTTCCAGTGTTGATATATATTTAAACCAGATGCCTGCATGCATTAAAACATGTACCTATTTCTATAAGTGATTAATTTTTGTCCTAACTAAAAGATCAGAGGCTACAAATGTTCCCTAAATCTACTTAATCTATGAGGGCCCTGGTACCAAGGTGATTACTTCTATCTTATCTTACCTAAGGCATGGGTCTGGAGAATTACTTCAGAACCCCAATAAAGTTATTTGACCTAAGATATGTCTTGGTACACAGAATGTAAGGCTATCTTTATTATCTTGACTTGCTCCAGGTTTCAGGAGAAGCCTGGGCAAGGCTCTTAATGAACATATGTTTCATTTGTGGCTTTGGTGTCTGGGCATCAATTTTCCTAGGTTTAATGATTAACCTAATGTTAAGGTGAATGCTGTGGGAGTTTACCTGTATAACTGGTGTGCCTTGGAGGCCTGTCTGTGTGCTTGTCAGGAAGAACTGGTCTGCTATATTACCTTTTGTATTTTCTGTTTTTGTTTTGTTTTGTTGTTTGCTTGTTTGTTTCCTGAAACTTGGTCTCAGTTGAGTGCAGTCACAAAATCACGGCTCACTGCATCCTCTACATCCTGGGTTCAAGCGATTCTCCCACCTCACCCTCCTGAGTAGCTGGGACTACTGTCATGCACCATTACAACTGGCTCAATTTTGCATTTTTTAGTAGAGACTGGGTTTCACAATGTTGGTCAGGCTAGTTTTGAACTCCTGACCTCAGACAAGTGTCTGGCCTTGGCCTCCCGAAGTGCTGGGATTACAGGCATGGGCCACCACACTCAGCCACCTCTTGTATTTTCATCAATACGTGAGTGTGTTTTAATCAAAGTATTCTTGCACTAATAGTAGCTTATTCTGTATGTGTTTGGTTTCTTGATATTTTGTGCCCCAAAAGATATATATTAATGATTTCTCCTTGGAGAATTATCTTTGTCATTTAATTTATTTGGTCCTCAGTGTTATCTTATCTATTGTAAATATAGGCAGTCCTACTTTAATTTTGCTTATATTTTCTGCCACATATTTAATATCTGTCATCTTCTTTATTTTCAGATTTCCTTTACCTTTTTTTGTCAGTAATGTACCGCTGGTTTTGTTTTAAAATTAAATATTTTAGACTAGGCATGGTGGATAATACCTTTAATCCCAAAGTTTTCACAGGCAAAGGCAACAGGATAACTTGAGGCCAGCAGTTTGAGATCTCCCTGGTCAACATAAGGAGACCCTGTCTGTACCAAAAGAAAATTGTTTTAAAGAAAAGCAGAAAAACAAGTGAATAAAATCAAGTATTTATGTCATTGATGTAAAATTAAGACATTCTTATATCCTCTTGTAGCTTACTTCTTTGTTGTTTATTTTACAGTTTTGTTTACAATCATCTCTTAGTATTACATCTTTGATACCTCTCCTCCTAGGTTCAAGTGATTCTCCTGCCTCAGCCTCCAGAGTAGCTGGAATTACAGGAGTGCACCACCAAGCTGGCTAATTTTTGTATTTTTATTAGAGACAGAATTTCACCATGTGGCCAGGCTGCTCTTGAACTCCTGACCTAAGGTGATCTGCCTGCCTCGACCTCCCAAAGTGTAGGGATTACAGGCGTGAGCCACTGTGCCCGGCCTTTAGTTACTTTTTCTGTTTCTACTTTGCTGCTGGTCAAATTTATTTTTTAAAAAAATTTGGTAGAGTGTTGCTTTACAGTTATGATTATCAACTTATTAATTATCACAATTGAGCCTGTATTTCTTTATTAATATATACATGTTAAATAATGTTTTCTCATCAATATCTTTTGTTTTCTTTTTTAATTTTCATTCAGAATCAAGAGGCACGTGCAGGTTTGTTACAAAGGTATATTGCATGGTGATTAGGTTTAGGGTACGACTGAACTCATCACTCAGGCAGGAGCATAGTACCTAATAGGTAGTTTTTCAGCCCTTGTTCCCATCTTTGTCTCTTCTTTCTAATAGTTTCCAGTGTCTATTTTTCCCCTCTTTATATACAAGTGTACTCAATGTTTAGTTCCCACTTGTGAGAACATGTCATTTTTTTTTCTATTTCTGCATTAGTTTGCTAGATAACAGCTTCCAGCTGCATCTATGTTGATGCAAAGGCCATGATTTTTTTTATTTGGCTGTATAGTATTCCATGTTGTATATGTAGTATATTTACTTTATCCAGTCAAATACTGTTGGGTATTTAGGTTGGTTTCATGTCTTTGCTATTGTGAATAGTGGGTCAGTGAACACAAGCATTCATGTGTCTTTAAGATAGAACAATTCATATTCCTTTGGGTATATACCTGGTAATGGGATTGTTGGGTCAAATGATGGTTATGTTTTTAGATCTTTGAGAAATTACCACACTGTTGTCCACAATGGTTGAACGAATTTACACTCTATCCAATAGTGTAAAAGTGTTCCTTTTTCTCTGCAACCTCACCAGCACTGTTATTTTTGGACTTTCTAATACTATCCATTCTGACTAGTTTGAGATGTTATCCCTTTGTGGTTTTGATTTGCATTTCTCTGATGACTAATGATGATAAGCCTTTTCAATATGTTGGTTGGCTACATGCATGACTTCTTTTGAGAAGTGTCTGTTCATGTCCTTTGCCCACTTTTGAACAGGGTTATTTGTTTTTTACTTGTTGATTTCTTTAAATTCCTTCTGGATTCTGGATATTAGGCTTTTGTCAAATGCATAGTTTGCGAATATTTTCTCCTATTCTGTGTGATATCTGTTTACTTTCTTACTAGTTTCTTTTGCTGTGAAAAAGCTCTTTAAGTAGGTCCCACTTATCAATTTTTGTTTTCTTGCAATTGCTTTCGATTACTTAGCCATAAATTATTTGCCAGGGCCAATGTCAAGAATGGTATCTCTTAGGTTTATTTTTATAGGATGAGGTCCTACATTTAAATCTTTAATGCATATTGAGTTGATTTTTATATATGGTGACATGAAGGTCCAGTTTCATTTTTCTGCATATAGTTAGACAGTTATCCCAACACAATTTATTGAATACATTTTTTCATTGCTTTGTTTTTCTAAACCTTATAGAAGATCAACTGATTGTATATGTGTGGCTTTACTGCTGGGTTCTCTACTCTGTTTTATTTGCCTATGTGTCTGTTTTTGTAAAAGTGCCATGCTGTTTTGGTTATTGCTGTTTTGGTTATTACTGTCACATAGTATAGTTTGAAGTTAGGCAATGTGATGGCTCCAGCTTTGTCCTTCTCATTTAGGATTACTATGGCTATTTGGGCTCTTTTTGTTTTGTATAAATTTTAGAATATTTTTTCTAATTCTATGAAAAAAAATGACATTGGTAATTTGATAGGAATAGCATTGAATTTGTAAATTTCTTTGGACACTGTGGCCATATTTTAAGAATGTTCATTCTTCTAATTGATAAGCGTGAAATATTTTTGCATTTACTTGTGTCATCTCATTTCTTTCAGCAGTGTTTTGTAGTTTCTTTGGTAGAAATCATTAAGATCTACTGATTGTCCATTTCTCCTTTCATCCCACCTAGAAAAGAACTTCAACTCTTTTGTCACCTGTTGACACTCATATGCATAGAATCACTGTGTACATTTTTATGTCAGGCTTCTTTCTTTCAATATATTTTGGATTCATTCACCTTGTTAAGTGTACCAGTAGTTCATTCATTGTATTGTATTGTATTGTAACGTAGTATTTCACTGCATTAAAATGTTATAACTTATTTCTCCATTTTCCTTTTGACAGGCATTTTATACATTTTATGTCCAGTAGTGTTTTTGTTTATCATTTTTGTATTATTGTAATGTTTATTCTGGTTATTACAGTATTCATTTTTACCTCATTTTTGTCTACTTTAGGAGTTTTCTACATCACAGGCAGTGTAGGAATCATAAAACAATTTAATTTTGTTTACCCTTATAAAGCCTTTTATGCCATTGTTCTGATACACTTTATTTTTATGACTGTCAGATTCTAATAGACATTACTGTGGTTGTATTGAATTTCCTTTTCAGGCTTCTTTATTTAATCCTGCAGTTTTGTGCTCCCATCAGCTATTATTTTCCTCCAACTTGAAGAACTATAGTATTTCTTGTTTTGTGTTGTGCACTGCTGTCAGGTTTTTTTTTCAGCCTGTATTTGGAAAATATATTTATTTTAGAAGAGTATCCTTGAAGGATTTAGAATTTCTTGGTTGCTTTTATACCTTTTTGAAATGTCATTCCATTTTGATTTTCTCATTTACAAATTACCTGTTCAATATTTTCCCACTGTCTTATGACTTTCATAGATTCTATTGAAATGTTTGCTGTCAGTTTTGCTGTTAAGACAGCCTACATTTTTAATTAATTTATATAATTTATTTCTATGCTAGGGACAAATGGGATAATTTCATTTGGTGTTAGAAATAAATTTCTTTCTGTGGTAGGAATAGGAATTCTTTGTCTGACATATGTATTCTGAATATCTTCTCCCACTCTGGGCTGCATTTTTATTTTTTCTATCTTTTGATAAAGATGAGTTCTTAATTTTAGTTGGGTATGGTTAATATAATTTGGGTCCTGTTTAAGAAATCTTGGCCTCTTCTTAAGTCATGAAGAAAAACTTCTTATGGCATTTTCTAAAACTTTTTGCTTTAATTTTCAAGTATAGATGTATACACTAAGATAAATTTTGCTTCCACTTAAGATAGTCATAAATACTCATTATAAATAACTAGCACCATTTATTGAAATTATTCTTCTTCTACCAACCTTGTCACGAATCAAGTGTCCATATACATGTGGATCAATTTCTGAACTCTCTCTTCTGTTCTGTTCATGCATTTGAAAATCCTTACACCTGTGTCACACTACCTTAATTAGAAATAGTTAATAGTTATTATATTGAATTTGTAACCTGTTTCTAAATCAATGCTTTTGTTTGATTTCTCCATGTCCATAATTGTTTTACTTTATACTGTAAGAACACTAAGGAATATTGAATAAAATTGGAGATAGCAGGCATGCTTATCTTAGTTCTAGTTTTAAACTGGAACACTTTCCATATTTCACCACTAAGCATGATGTTTGTTGTAGGTATTTGTAGACATCATTTTTACCATGGAGCAAATTCCTTTTTATTTCTAGTTAACCAAGAATTTTTTTGTCATTCTTTTCTGTATCTACAGATATGATTACATGATCATATCTTGGTTTTTCAAATTATTTATTATTATCTTTATTTCCTCATTTCAGAAAATTTCCTCATGGTTTTCATGGCCTATTCTCTTTCTAAGCCATTTAAAAGATGATTTTCCCTCAGATTATATTCTTGATTATTTTCTTTCCTCAGTTCTCTCACAACCTTCTGATTCACTCTTGATGTGTTTGAACACCACTAAATTATCAATGTCTCTCAAATCCTTATCTTCATTATTGATCTCCATAGTATGCATCACATTAATATATTTATGACCTATCTTACTGGAATACTGTGTATCATCTATTTTTCCCTGATTTATCTGGCTTACTTTGTGACTCTAGTATCTAGGCCACTATTTATTGGCATTGACTGAGGAAACATTTTCTTAAAGTTTCTTTTAAAAAAACATCTATTTTCTGTGGGCCTTTATATAATAGTCTTTCTTACTTTCCTATTGTTCCCTCATGGAACTAGAACTGGCTGCATGTTCCTGTGGTCCAATAATGAGATTCAGACAAACTGGAAAAAAGAAAGTTTAGTTACATAACTGAGTACAAGAAGGAGGCCAGAGAAAATTCACCAGACCAACTTAGCATTCTAAAGTCTTTCCAGCGCTTATATATATTTAAACTATATGCCTACATGCATTAACACATTTACCTATGTCTATAGGTGATTAATTTTTGTCCCAACTGAAAGGTCAGAGGCCAGAAATGTATTCTAAATCTACTTAATCTATGAGGCTCCTGGTACTGGGTCGATTACTTCTATGTCTTATCTTACCTAAGGTCTGGAGAGTTACTTCAGACCCCCATTACATTTATTTGACCCAAGATTGGTCTTGGTACATGGAATATAGGGCTATCTTTACTACCTTGACTTGCTCCAGTTTCAGAAAACGCCTGGGCAAAACTGTTAACAAACATATATTTTATTTTCTGGCTTTGGTGACCAGGCATCAATTTCCCTATGTTTAATTATTAACTTAATGTTAAGGCAAATGCAGTGGAAGTCTGCCTGTATAACGGGTGTGATATGGAGACCTGTCTGTGTGATTGTCAGGAAGAACTTGTCTGCTATATTACCTCTTGTATTTTTTTTTTTTTTTTTGAGACAGGATCTTACTCTGTCACTTAGGCTTGAGTGCAGTCACACAATCATGGCTCACTGCAACCTCTGCCTCCTGGGTTCAAGCAATTCTCCCACCTCAGCCTCCTGAGTAACTGGGACTACAGGAAAGCATCATCACACCTGACTACTTTTAGCATTTTTTAGTAGAGGCAGGATTTGACCATGTTGGCCAGGCTAGTTTTGAACTCCTCACCTCAGGTCACTCTCCTGCCTTGCCCTCCCAAAGTGCTGGGATTACAGGTATGAGCCACTGCACCTGACCACCTCTTGTATTTTTATTAATATGTGATTGTGCTTTAATCAAACTATTCTGGTCCTCATAATAGTTCATTCTGTATGTGTTTGTCTCTTGATATTTTGTGCCCCAAAAGATATATATATAAATGATTTCTCCTTGGAGAATTATTTTTGTCATTTAATTTATTTGGTCCTCATTGTTACCTTATCTATTGTAAATATAGGCAATTCTACTTAATTTTGCTTATATTTTCTGCCATATATTTAATATTTGTCCATTTTTTCTGTTTTCAGATTTTCTTTATCTTTTCTTGTAAGTAACATATGCTGGTTTTGTTATAAAATTAAATATTTCATGTTAGGCATGGGGGCTCATGCCTGGAAACCCAGGATTTTGGCAGGCCAAGGCAACAGGATCACTTGAGGCCAGGAGTCCGACATGAGCCTGGGCAGCATAAGGAAACCACACCTGTACAAAAATAAAATTGTTTCAAAGAAAAAAAAGAAAATAAGTAAATAAAATCAAATATTTCTGTCATTGATAAAAAATTTAGCACACTCATACATCCTTTTGTAGCTTACTTCCTCATCATTTAACAGTTTTGTTTACAATAATATGAATATAACATCATTGATATGATGTATGTTTTACTTTACATCATAGTTTTTAGCTACTTTTTTCTGTTTCTATTGTGCTGCTGGTCAATTTTTTTTCTTTTTTGTTAATTTGGTAGAGTGTTCCTTTATAGTTCTGGTTATCAACTTATTACTAATTACTACAGTTGAGCCTGTATTTCTTTATTAATATATGCATGTTAAACAATGTTTTCTCATCAATATCTTTTATTTTCTTTTTCAACTTTCATTCAGAATCAAGAGGCCTGTGCAGGTTTGTTACAAAGGTATATTGCATGATGCTGAGGTTTGGGGTATGACTGAAGTCATCACTCAGGTAGGAGCATAGTACCCAATAGGTAGTTTTTCATTCCTTGCCCCCAGCCTTGTCTCCTCTAATAGTCCCCAGTGTCTATGTTTTCCATCTTTATGTTCATGTGTATTCAGTGTTTAGTTCCCCCTTGTGAGAACATGTGATACTTGTTTTTCCATATCTGCATTAGTTTGCTTAGGATAATTGTCTCCAGCTGCATCTATGTTGCTGCAAAAGAGATGATTTTGTTTTTTCTCTTTGGCTGCGTAGTATTCCATGGTGTATATCTAGTACATTTTCTTTATCTAGTCAACTACTGATGGGTATTTAAGTTGGTTCCATGTCTTTGCTATTGTGAATAGTGGGTCAATAAACATAAGCATTCATGTGTGTTTATGATAGAACAATTTATATTCCTTTGGGTATATACCTAGTAATGGGATTGCTGGGTAAAATGATGGTTCTGCTTTTAGCTCTTTGAGGAATAGTCACACTGTTGTCCACAATGATTGAACTAATTTACACTCCTTCCAATAGTGTAAAAGTGTTCCTTTTTCTCTGCAAACTCACCTGCACCTGTTATTTTTGGACTTTCTAATACTATCCACTCTGACTGGTGTGAGATGTTATATCTTTGAGGTTTTGATTTGCATTTCTCTGATGACTAATGATGATAATTCTTTTCAATATGGTTGGCTGCATGCATCTCTTCTTTTGACATGTGTCAGTTGATGTCCTTTGCCCACTTTTTAATGGGGTTATTTATTTTTTAGTTGTTGATTTCTTTAAGTTCATTCTTGATTCTGGATACGAGGCTTTTGTTGGATACATAGTTTGTGAATATTTTCTCCCATTCTGTATGGCATCTTTTTACTTCCTTAATACTTTCTCTTGCTGTGTAGAAGCTCTTTATTTTAAATAGGCCCCACTTAACAATTTTTGTATTCTTGCAATAGCTTTTGATGACCCAGCCATAAATTCTTTTCCAGGGCCAATATCAAGAAAGGTATTTCCTAGGTTTTCTTCTAGGATTTTCATAATTTGCGGTCTTACATTTAAATCTTTAACTCATATTGAGTCAATTTTTATATATGGTGATATGAAGGGGTCCAGTTTCATTCTTCTGCATATAGATAGACTGTTATCCCAGCACCATTTATTGAATAGAGTGTCCTTTCTTCATTGCTTAGTTTTTGTAAACTTTGTTGAAAATTAGCAGATTGTGGTTTTGTGGCTTTATTTCTGGGTTCTCTACTCAGTTTATTTGACTACGTGTCTGGTTTTGTACCAGTACCATGCTCTTTTGCTTGCAACAGTCTCATAGTATAGTTTGAAGTTAGGCAATGTGATGGCTCCAGCTTTGTCTTTTTCATATGGGATTACTATGGTTATTCGGTCTCTTTTTGTTTTGTATGAATTTAATTTTTTTTCTAATTCTGTGCACATGATGTTGGTGATTTGATAGAAATAGCACTGAATTTGTAAATTACTTTGGACTGTATGGTCATATTTTAACAATGTTGATTCTTTTAATCCATGAGCATAAAATATTTTTGCGTTTATTTGGTCATCTCTTATTTCTTTCAGCAGTATTTTGTAGTTTCTTTGGTAGAAATAATCAGGATCTTTTGATTGTCAATTTTTCCTTTCATCTCACCTAGAAAAACACTTCATCTCTTTTGTCATCTATTGTTGAAACTCATATGCATAGTATCAATGTGTACATTTTTACATCAGGCTTTTTTCTTTCAATCTGTCAGATTCGTTTGTCTTGTTAAGTGTACTAGTAGTTCATTCCTTGTATTGTTACACAGTATTTCACTGCATAAAAATATTATAACTTATTTTTCCATTTTCCACTTGACAGTCATTTTGTAAATTTCAATTTTATGTCTAGTAGTTTCTTTGTTTACCATTTTGTATTTTTGTAGTGTTCCCTCTGGTTACTACAGTATTTGTTTTTAACTTTTTTTTGTCTACCTTAAACTAGGATGTAGGAACCAGGACTTTACATCACAGGCAGTTTAAGAATCTCAAAACAGTTTAACTTTATTTACCCTTATACTGCCATTTTGGCCATTGTTCTGATATACTTTATTTTTATGATTGTCAGAATCTAATAGAAATTCCTGTAGTTGCATTGAATTTCCTTTTCAGGTTTCTTCATTCCTCCTGAAATTTTGTTTTTCCATCAAATATTATTTTTCTCCAACATGAAGACCTGTAGTATTTCTTGTTGTGTGTTGTGTGCTGTTGTCAGTTTTTTTTTCAGTCTTTATTTGGAAAATATATTTACTTTAGAAGAGTATCCTTGAAGGATTTAGAATTTTCTGGTTGCCTTTTTAATTTTTTAAAATGTCATTCCATTTTGATTTTCTCATTTACGAATTACCTGTTTAAAATTTGCCCACTGTCTTCTGATTTTCATAGTTTTTATCAAAATGTTTGCTGTCAGTTTTGCTGTTGAGACCACCTAGTTTTTTTAAATTAGTTTATATAATTTATCTTCATGCTAGGTACAAATGGGACAATTTCATATTGTGTTAAGGAAAAATTTCTTTCTATGCTAGGAATAGGAATTCTTTGTCTGACATGTATTCTGGATATCTTCTCCCACTCGGGGTTGCATTTTTTTTCTTTCTATCTTTTGATAAAGATGAGTTCTTAATTTTAATAGAGCACGATTAATATAATTTGTGTCCTGTTTAAGAAGTCTTTGCCTATTTTGAGGTTATGAAGAAAAACTTCTTAGGGCACTTTCTAAAAATTTTTTGCCTAAGATGGATTCTCTTTACACTTAAGGTGGCAATAAATCTCAATATAATAAACCTAAAACACTTTATTGAAATTATTATTTTTCTACCAACTTTGTCATGAATCAAGTGTCTGTATACATGTAAATCTATTTCTGAACTCTCTCTTTTGTTCTGTTCATGCATTTGAAAATCCTTACACCTGTGTCACACTGCCTTAACTAGAAATACTGAAAATTTGCTATATTGAACTTGTAACATGTCTCTAAAACTATGTTTCTATTTGTATTTTTCTGTGTATATAATTGTTTACTTTATTACTGGAAGAACTTTTAAAAATATTGAATAAAATTGGAGATAACAAGAATCCTTATCTCAGTCTTAGTTTTTTAGCTGAAAACTTTCCATATTTCACCACTAAGCATGATGTTTGCTGTAGATATTTGTAGGTAAACATTGTTTTTAGCATTTAGAAAATTCCATTCTATTTCTAGGTGGCCAAGAGTTTTTTATCATGCTTTTCTGCATCTACTAATATGATCATATGATCATCTCTTGTTTTTATTTATTTTTTCCTTTCCCTCCCAGGCTCAAGCAATTCTCCTTCCTCAGCCTCCCGAGTAGCTGGGATTAAAAGCATGTGCCAACACGCCCAGCTAATTTTTGTATTTGTAGTAGAAATGGGGTATCACCATATTGGTCAGGCTGGCCTTGAACACCTGATCTAGTGATCCACCTGCCTCAGCCTCCCAAAGTGCTGGGATTGCAGGTGTGAGCCACTGTGCTCGGCTATCTCTTGGTTTTTAAAACTATTTATTGTTACCTTTATTTCCACATTTCAGAAAGTGTTCTCATGGTTTTCATGGCTTAGTCTTTTTCCAAACCTGTTAAAAGGCAATTTACCCACAGATTCTGTTCTTGATTATTTTCTTTCCTCAGTTCTCTCACAACCTTCTGATTCACTCTTGATGGGCTTGAACACCACTAAATTATAAATGTCTCTCTAATCTTTATTTTCATTATTGATATCCATATTATGCTTCAAATTTAGTATATTTAAGACCTATCTTTCTGGAATACTGTTTCATCTATTTTTCCCTGATTTTCCTGGCTTACTTTGTGACTGCAGTATCTGGGCCACTGTTCATGAGGGTCACCTGAGGAAACACTTTTCCCCTCCATGAATTGGTGCCCACATTTTGTTGCTGTGTGTCTCCTATTGCTAGTGCCCTATTTTCATCCCAGTTTCAACTACAGTGGTTTATGTAAATGGTCTTGTTTTATGCTTTATCTGTCCCCTCCCTTTCTCAAGATAATTGCTTCTATAGAGAAAAATCTGGCAACATAATTTCATTCTATGTTCACATCTCACATTCTGCTCTCCATTTTCCATAGCGGTGATCCCTAGAAGAGGCATACACTTAGAAGATGTACAGAAAAATCAAACTGGATATCTTCTCTTATACACTCTACTGACATTTCAAGTATAATATTTCAAAAATCTTTCCATTTTCTACACATTCTTACCATCTCTGAATTAAAGGAAAAGAACCCAGAATATGTATTGCAATGAAGTAAAATATTAGGCTGTTTTCTTCACTTCAAAATGCAAATAAGAATTAAATTAGAATTTATAAGTGAATTTATTATTTATTTTTATAATTTGTAAATATAAATCGTTATGCTGAATAAGATTCTAAAAAATAGTAAATGATCAAATGTTTGGATACTGTTGGTCTATAATTGCTCTGTGGCCCATTCACTGAATACTTTTCTGGCCCTTGTCTCATGACAGCACCAGGCCATATTCTTATCTCCTGTGCTGTTTTCCCTTTTGCTGATTTCTTATGTGTTGGAGGCCCCATCCTTTGCCTGTACCATGGCCCTGTGCTTATGAAGGGCACAGCATAGTAATACTTCAACCAACAGCTGTGCTTCCTCAGTGAAGCTCAAACAGAACCTACGTTCTTACTTATTTATAGAACTAGCCAACCTTCTGTGTATTTTCACCATTGAAATATATTTTCTTACCAGATTATATGCTCCATGAATACAAGAAGGGGAGCAATCTTGGTATTTCCAGCAATTATAATAGTTTCAGGTATATTGTGCAGAGTTGATAATTTTTTGCCTCTAAGTGAATACATAGAAGTAGCACTAGACATATAAACAGACGTTTATGTACATTAAATGTTCTGTGGTTTTACAGGCTACCAAAGAAATTAAAGCAAGATGAGATTGAATGAACTTTTTATTTATTTATTTTTTGAGACAGAGTCTTGCTCTGTCACCCAGGCTGGAGTGCGGTGGTGCAATCTTGGCTCACTGCAAGCTCCGCCTCCAGGGTTCACCCCATTCTCCTGCCTCAACCTCCTCAGTGGCTGGGATTACAGGCTCCCACCACCACGCCTGGCTATTTTTTTTTGTATTTTTTAGTAGAGACAGTGTTTCACCATGTTAGCCAGGATGGTCTCGATCTACTGACCTCATGATCCGCCCACCTCGGCCTCCCAAAGTGCTGGGATTACAGGCGGGAGCCACTGCACCCGGCCTGAATGAACTTCTTTAAGGAAGAGTCATGGGAAACCTTACTGAGTTCAACAGACCAGCAGAAATTTGACTGAAATGACTGTGAGCTATGAGGATTCTGCCTCTTTTCAGCAGGGGCAACAGCAGTTGCTAGGCATGAGGAGGAATGCGCTTGGTGGTTTTGAGGAATAACAAAAAAGTCACAGTGGGTGAAGGGAAGGGGTTGACAAGAGGAGGCAGGAGGTGACGTCAGGGAGGCAGTAGACTCCAAAGGTGAGCCTATCATAAGCCTTATTCAGTAAATTTATTTTATTCTTAATTTAGTAGTAGATTTTCAGCAAATGAGCAACATTTGATTTATGTTTGTATGAGATCTTTCTCACTTTTGTTGAGAAAATATTAGGCAGGGCATAAATGCATAGAGAACTCATTAAGGAGCTGTGGTGATTTTCCTCCTGAGTGATTGTGGTGGCTTAGACAAATCTGGAGGGCACAGAGGGAATGAGATGAGGTTTGATTCTCTCAATATTTAGAAAGTGGGGCAACAACAAAAGAACTAACATTTGTAATATCAAAGTGCCAGAATGAAATGAGAGGGGTATTTAAAATATTTGAACAAATAATGGTGGAAAATTTCCCAAATTTAGCAAAAGTTAAACTACACATTCAAGAATCTGAGCTAACATCAAATAAGATAATTTCAAATAAATCCATGGTGGAGGCAAATCATAAATAAATTTTTGAAAACTAAAGACAAAACAAAATCTTCAGAGTAGCCCGAGATAAACAACACATTCCCTACAAAAAAAGAATTGCGGATTTCTCATCTGAATTCATGGTGGCCAGAAGGAGGTAGGACATTTTCTCAAGTACTGAAAGAAAAAAACTATAAAAAAATCTCTGTCTTTTGAAACTATATTCATCAACAAAGGGAAATGAAAAGCTTATCAGACAGAAAAACTAAGAGAAAATGTTGCTAGCAAATCTAAGTTTAAAAAGATTGCTAGAGAAACTTCTCTAACTAGAAAGAATATAACACAAGAAGGCTTAGAACACAGGAAAGAAAATATTGGAAGTTGGCAAAAACAGTCATAAATGTAATAGAATCTGTTTCTCAGGAGTTTTTGAAATCATATTTGATGTTTGGAAAAAAATGCTCTGTATTTAGAGGAAATACTTAACATAATTCTATTTAAAAATGGGGGATGGTAAAGGGATCTAAGTAGAATGAAAGTTTCTACATTTCACTTGAAATGGTAAAATGCTGACTAATAGACTGTGAGAAGTTACATATGTACACTTTAATATCTAGAACTACCACTAAGAAAATGATAAAAAGTAGTGTGCTTAGAAACACTATAAATAAACCAAGATGGAATCTAAAAAATGTAAAATATAACCAATAAGAAAATGGTAATAGATTAATGAAAAACTGAGAAAACAAAACAAATAAAATAGCAGCCTAACATAGCAATATTTATCTTAAATGTAAATAATCAAAGTACATGAATTTAAATGCAAATTGACAGAGTGGAAAGAACAAGAAACATGATGCTAAAATTTGTTATTTATAGAAAACTCATAAGGTGGTTAACAACATAGGTTGATAAAGAATAGAAAAAGATACAACATACAAACGTTAATCAAATCAAAGTAAGAGTGGCCCCATTGATATCACATAAAGACAACTTTAGAGCAAAGAAAATTAGTGGACAAAAAGATCACTATATAATGATAAAAACATCAATCCAACAAAAATTAAGTTATCCTAAATATGTCCCCATCAAACAAAAGAACACTAAAGTACACAAACTAAAACTGACTGAGCTGAAAGGAGAAATATGCACATTTTTAATTATAAAATAACAAAGTTGTAAGTCTGACCACCTCACTCTCAGCAACTAGTAGAATCACTAGGTGTTAAATTACTAGCAGATACAGAACAGGAGAGCACCATCAAGCAACAAGGTAGAAGCAACATTTATGGAACAGTGCCCAACAGCAGAGAATATACTTTTTCTCAAGCGCTCATGGACTATTGAGAAAGATAAGCCATATCCTGGGCCATAAACAAACCTCATCACTGAGGTGTTAAAAGAACTGAAATTATTTTGTGTATGTTTTCTGGTCATAATTGAATGAATCAAACTATATATTAGTAGTAAAAAGACAACAGCAAAATATCCAACCACTTGGAAATGAAACAACAGACTTCTAAATAATGCCTCGATTGAAAAAAAAGCCGCCAGTTTTTAAAATTCATGGAACTGAATGAAAATGATAACATCAATATATGTGGGAGGCCACTAAAGCCCTGCCAATAGGGAAATTAACAGCACTAAATGCTAACCTCAGAAAAGAGAAAAGGCCTCAAAATGATAATTAATTTACTACCTCAAGAACTAAAAAAACAAGGAGGGAAGGGACAAGGCCATGGCTGATCCCAGAGAGGCAGTGGCAGGCACCAAGACATAGAGAGTGGTTGGTGCACACCCTGAGTGCATCGCAACCCCTGTGTGCCAAGCCGTGAACCTAGGCAGCCAGAACAGAAGCTGGTGCCAGTTGTGCCAACTATAACAAGGACACGTCACTAGCTGTGGGTAGTAAGTCCAGTTATAAAACTTCCTCCCTTCCACTCCAGCCTGGACGACAGAGCGAGACTCTACCTCAAAAAAAAAAAAAAAAAACAAACAAACAAAAAAAATTTTCTCTCTTCTTCTGTTGGAGCAGATCTCTGAATGCACTGATACTGAAGATGCCTCCATTGTATAAAATTGTTCTCAAGCACCTTAGTGGCCATTTTGAGCCTCAAAGCTCCAAGGAAGCTAAAGGTTTGCCACTTTAAGAATGGAACTAAGATCTGCAACTACAGCTACTCCAAGAAGATAGTGGCCATGGACCTCCACAGGCAAAGGCCAATAGTGTGCCTGGGAGATCCCTTGCACTTCTGCAACATTTAAGACTTGAAGATATTGGCTGGGATCTGGAGACAGTCCAAGCCCTGCAGGCTTGTGTGCACTCTCAATAAGCAATGAAAACTGTTACTTGGCCTAGGCAGAGAGTGCTGTGTCTTTTCTGTTTTAAATTTACACAATTTATTCAGCAAAATAATGAGAGATTGTGTTTGCAAGTTTCAGTATTTGCCTAGCTTCCCTTTTCATTTTGCAGAATTAGAACAACCTCAAATATTTCAAACACTGCGTTCCAAACCAAGGCATATAGCAGTTAAAGTTCTGAGAGCAATTAAGTGGAGTTAATTTCATGAAAGATTATTTTATATTTTTTGGAGTGGTGAAACTTAAGAATAGAAATGAAGAGGTAAAAATATTGTATTTGCCCTGCCATTTCAGGATTCCAGGTTTTTGAACAGAGGAAGGGTGAGAGATATCTGTTTCTGGGTCATTGTGCCATGGTCACACCTGTTGAATAGCTTCCAAAGTCAACTGACCATCTGCAGTGAAACGCCCTGAATTCCTGGGTTGGCTTTACAGTAAGCCCCTAAATGCTGGGAGCATGTAGAGTCAGTCCTCACTGTGCAGACTTCTCTAGAGGAGCTAGTGTGTAGATTGTATGGCTATTAGGCAGAGGGAAAAGATGAGAAGAATAAACTTTTTTAAAAAATATCTTACATGTCCACCCTGGACCCTCCATCAGATGGGATCCCAGTCATTCCCAGTCTTGGGTGTGCGCTGAGGTGGAGGAGGCTGCTATTTACCAGAGAGCAAGAAGGGCCATGGCAGGACACAGCCTTGACCTGCCGCGCAGGTTCGTGGCGCAAGCTCACAGGGGCCTCTCTCTGTCCCCTAGAACCCAGCTTTGGACTCCATCTCTGAGGAGGGATATTTGGCTAGAGTAAGTGTTAATGGGGAAAAGAAATTGTCAACAGGTACATGATAGATTTAGATCCCTGAGCTAGGGTTTCCTAATAATTGAAGAGAGAGTTGCACTTCAAGTTCTGTGATAAGATATTAGTTTTTGTGCCTGCCTGTTGACTTTTACACTTGTGGTGATTTGGAAACTCAAATTTACTTTGCCAGGTTTCTTTCATCTTTCTTTGGGATTGGTAGCTCTATAATATGTTGGCAATTGGCTTCCTTCTTTCAGCCTCAGTTTTCTGTACTTTAAGATGAGGCAGTTTAGAAGGGTGGCCTCTGATGTCCCGGAACCATTGGCCCCTGCTCCCCGATGGGTGACCATGGCAAGGCTTGGCACTTTCACTTCCAGACACAGAAAGTCCTGTGCTTGCCTGGGTAGAGCCTAATTTGAGCACCCCATAGAGGTAGGAAGACTAAGGATTCTTGGTTGAGAGAAATGAAAAGAGTTTATGTGTGTTTGCTGACTAGCCTTTGTGGGAGAATTACTCACGTCTGTTTTTCCTTTTCTTATTTCATTGCCATGAGCACCTCTTTCTCTTGCCTTATGTTTTAACCTGCCTGAGCCACAGCAAGTCCCAGCCACACTGGCAGGTCCCAGGCATGTGCAGAACCGGGGGGTAGGCAGGGAGAGCTAGAAGTACTGAGTGGGCCATTAGTAGAACTGTTACTGCCACACCAGGAACCTAGATATAAAGGGGCCCTGAACCAAACAGAACATGTGTACTGATTTGCTTAACTCCGAACTGTACATCAAAATTAATTTTTAACTATATTATACTGTTTCTAAACTCCAAAAGTGATTATAGGGGTGACAGCATAAGAATCAAAACCAGGAAAAGTATTCAATGGACTCTGTGAATTGGGATCAAACCTTTTGTATTTTCTAAAATGATGGAATCAGGAGTTGGATTGAAACTGGAGTCAAAAAGAACTGAATGTAGTCCTGGATGCCACCATCTGACTAGGTGTGTGAACAGGGTATGTCACCAGGGAGACTCAGATTTCTGGATTGTTCAGCAGGAATCATCTCTACCTCAAAGCACTGTTGTGAGGTATATGCGCATGTGTCCTACAAGCATCCAGCTCAGTGTCTGGCTGGCAGTGGGCACCTAATAAGTGACCTAATAAGTGGTAAAACAACAACAAAAAAAGAAAACAGAAAAGAACAAAATAAAACCTCTGCAAGGAGAGGAAAGAAAATTTTATAAGCTAAGAGCAGAAATCAGTAAAATGGGAAAACACTAGATAAACCTAATGAAACACAATCTTCATTTAAAAAAATAAAATTGGTAAACCTCCAGCAATATTGACAAAAATATAAAAGGAGAAGACAAATCACCAATATCAGGAAAGAAACAAGGAATATCATGCTAACATCCATTAACAGGATAATAATTGAATATCATCAACAACTTTGTGTTCATAAAGTTGCAACTTAGAAGAAATGTACCAATTCTTCAGAAACCACAGACTATCAAAATTCAATCAGGGTGACACAGATTATTTGAATGATTCATAAATTGTCATAGAGGTTGATATGGTTAATTCAAGCTAAAGAAATTAAATTTTAATTATCTCACTGAAAAAAGCTATCTCCTAGCCCAAGAAGTTTGCAGTCTTTGCTGGAAAATTCTATCAAACATTTAATAAGGAATTCAAGATGATTTCAGTGTTTTCAGAACATATTGTTAAAATTATTTTTACACCAAAACCATAGAAAGACAGTATAAAAATCATAACAAAACTACAGGCCTATGTCTCCTATATATTTAGTAGCAAAAAGCCTTACCAAAATACTCATAAATAGAAAGTAGTCACGTGTAAAAATTATCATACACCCTGACCAAGTGGGATTTACTTGAGGCATGCAAGCAAAATGGTTCAACATTCAAGAATCAATCCACGTAATTAATCCACCATAGGCTAAAGAAGAAAAAATCATATATCAGTTTGTGTAGAAAAAGTGTTTGATAAAATGCGACTTCCATCTGTGATAAAAACTTGCCAAATTAGAAATAGAGAGGAACTTCTCTACTTGATAAATGAATATCTACAAAATATCTACAGCAAATATTAGACTGGCTGGTAAGAGACTGAATAATTTCCCTGTAAAATTGAGGTGGAGGCTAAGAAGTTTGCTCTCACCACTCCTACTCAGTATAGTACTGTAACTTCTAAGAAGCCCAATAAAGCAAGAAAAAGAGATGGAAGGCATACAGATTGAGAGAATAAATAAAACTGTCCATATTTACATATGACATAATTTCATTTGTATAAAATTCCAAGGAATTTTACAAAACAAAACCTCCCAGAACCAGTGAATGCTTTCCACAAAGTTTCAGAATCCAAGATAAACACATATATAATCAATCCATCTCTCTCCACTAACAATGTAGGAATGGAAATCCAAATTAAAAACAAAAAACCACTAATAATAATTCCATAGAAAATGAAATATTTTCATATAAATTAAACAAAATATGTATAGGACCTTTGTGCTGAAAATTACAAAATGCTGATGAAAGAAAGAAAAGAAAAGTGAAAAAATGAAGATATGTGGTTTCTTGATGGATTGAAAGACTCATGGTAAATATGTCAGTTCTCACCGATGTGATTTATAGGTTTATTGGCATTCCTGTCAAAATCCCAATAAGGTATTTTAGCCCAAAATAACCTTATTTCAAAATTTGAATAAACAGGCAAAGGAACTAGAGAGATCTGAAAAAATTTTAAAAGAAAGAATAGTATCTAGTTCTTTTAATTGTGATGTTAGGGTGTCAATTTTAGATTTTTCCTGCTTTCTCTCGTGGGCATTTAGTGCTATAAATTTCCCTCTACACACTGCTTTGAATGTGTCCCAGAGATTCTGGTATGTTGTGTCTTTGTTCTTGTTGGTTTCAAAGAACATCTTTATTTCTGCCTTCATTACGTTATATACCCAGTAGTCATTCAGGAGCAGGCTGTTCAGTTTCCATGAAGTTGAGCGGTTTTGAGTGAGTTTCTTAATCCTGAGTTCTAGTTTGATTGCACTGTGGTCTGAGAGACAGTTTGTTATAATTTCTGTTCTTTTACATTTGCTGATGTGTGCACTGGATCCCTTCCTTACACCTTAACAAAAATTAATTCCAGATGGATTGAAGACTTAAATGTTAGACCTAAAACCATAAAAACCCTAGAAGAAAACCTAGGCAATACCATTCAGGACATAGGCATGGGCAAGGACTTCATCTCTAAAACACCAAAAGCAATGGCAGCAAAAGCCAAAATTGACAAATCGTATCTAATTAAACTAAAGAGCTTCTGCACAGCAAAAGAAACTATAAACAGAGTGAACAGGCAACCTACAGAATGGGAGAAAATTTTTGCCATCTACTCATCTGACAAAGGGCTAATATCTAGAATCTACAATGAACTCCAACAAATTTACAAGATAGATAAAAACAAACAACCCCATCAAAAAGTGGGTGAAGGATATGAACAGACAGTTCTCAAAAGAAGACATTTATGCAGCCAAAAGACACATGAAAAAATGCTCATCATCACTGGTCATCAGAGAAATGCAGATCAAAACCACAATGAGATACCATCTCATACCAGTTAGAATGGCTATCATTAAAAAGTCAGGAAACAACAGGTGCTGGAGAGGATGTGGAGAAATAGGAACAGTTTTACACTGTTGGTGGGACTGTAAACTAGTTCAACCATTGTGGAAGTCAGTGTGGCGACTCCTCAGGGATCTAGAACTAGAAATACCATTTGACCCAGCCATCCCATTACTGGGTATATACCCAAAGGATTACAAAACATGCTGGTATAAAGACACATGCACACATACGTTTATTGTGGCACTATTCACAATAGCAAAGACTTGGAACCAACCCAAATGTCCAACAATGATAGACTGGATTAAGAAAATGTGGCATATATACACCATGGAATACTATGCAGCCATAAAAAATGATGAGTTCATGTCCTTTGTAGGGACATGGATGAAGCTGGAAACCATCATTCTCAGCAAACTATCGCAAGGACAGAAAACCAAACACCGCATGTTCTCACTCACAGGTGGGAATTGAACAATGAGAACACATGGACACAGGAAGGGGAACATCACACAGTGGGGCCTGCTGTGGGGTGGGGGGAGGGGGGAGGGATAGCATTAGGAGATATACCTAATGCTAAATGATGAGTTAATGGGTGCAGCACACCAACATGGCACATGTATACATATGTAACAAACCTGCACATTGTGCACATGTATCCTAAAACTTAAAGTATAATTGAAAAAAAGAAAGAATAGTATGAGGACTCATTGTATGGTGTAAGCCAGTGTGAAGGCTTATAACATGTCCCCCCTTACCTGAGGTTTGTTTTCCACAGTTTCAATTACCTAAGGCCGACTGTAGTTCAAAAATATTAAATAGGAAATTCCAGAAATAAAAAATTCATGTTTTAAATTGCATGCTATTCTGAGTAGCATGGTGAAATTTTGCACATTCCTACTCCACCCCAACAGGGACATGAATCAGCCTGTGTCCAGCATACAAAGGTTGTATATGCTACCCACCCACTAGTCACTTCGTAGCTGTCTTGGCTATCAGATGCACTGTCATGGTTTCGCAGTGCTTGTGTTCAAGTACCCTTTGTTTTACTTAATGATGGACCTAAAGTGCAAGTGTAGTGATGCGGGTGTATTGCTATAATTTTTCTGTTTTCTGAGGAGTTATTGCTGTTAATAGGCTGTACCATGCCTAATTCATAAATTAAACTTTACCATAGGAATGTATATATAAAAAAACAGTACTTACAGGGCTCAATATTATATGAGGTTTCAGGCATCCACTGGGGGTCTTGGAATGCATGTCCCTTGCTTAACGCGGGATCACTGTATAAAATTACAATAGGAGAACAGGGTATTAAAATATACACGTTCATGGAATCCACACATAGAAAAATGAAAAAGAATAGAGAAACCTAGAAATTGACTGAGAATTATGCTGTTATAGACTGTATGTTTGTGTCTCCCCCAAGTTTACATGTTGGAGTCTGTTTCCTCAATACGGTGGTGTTTGGAGATGGAGCCTTTGGGAGGTACTTAAGGTTAGATTAGTTCATGAAAGTCGGGCTCTTAAGATGAGATTAGTGCCTTATAGGAATAGGAAATGAGAGTTTGCTCTTTCTCCACATGCATGCACAGAGGAAAGGCCACGTGAACATGCAGTAACCATCTGCAAGCTGAGAAGAGGCCCTCACCTGCCCCTGGCCATGCTGGTATCCTGATACGAGACTTCCAGCCCCCAGACCTGTGAGAAAATAACTGTTGTTTAAGCCACACAGTATGTGGTATTTTGTTATGGCAGCTGGAACGAAGACACATTCCAAATGGATTGTTGACAAAAGTGCAAAAGAAATTCTGTGCAGAGCCAGGCTTGGTGATTCACACCTGTAATCCCATCCTTTGGGGAGGCTGAGATGGGCAGATAGCTTGAGCTCATGGCGAAACCTTGTCTCTACTAAAAATACAAAAAATTAGCTAGGTGTGGTGGCCTGTGCCTATGGACACAGCTACTCAGGAGGCTGAGGTGGGAGGATCACTTGAAGCCAAGAGGTGGAGGTTGCAGTGAGCCAAGGTGATGCCACTGCCCTCCAGCCTGGGCAGCAGAGTGAGACTCTGTCTGAAAAAAAAAAATTAAAAAATAAAAGAAAGAAAAAGAAATTAATTGCAGGAATTCAACAAATGATGCTGAAACATTTTGACCATATCTTTTTTTTTCTATCATGGTAAAACACACATAACATGCGATTCAGTGCCATTAATTGCACTCACAATGTTGTGCAACCATCTTTGCTGTCTGTTTCCAAAGCCTTTTCGTAACTCCAAACAGAAAGTCTATAATCATTAAGCAATAAGTATTCATTTTCCTCTCTCACCAGCCTGTGGTAACTTCTGATCTACTTTTTCTCTATAAATGTGACTTTTGTAAGTATTTCATGTCAGTAGCATTATGATAATATTTGTTCTTTTGTCTGTCTTATTTTACTTACCATAGTGGCTTCATGTTTCGCCTATATGTAGAAAGTGTCAAAACTTTTTCTTTCCTGACTGAATAATATTTCATTGTATTTTGTTTATTTTGCATGCATTTTATTTATTCATTCATCTGTTCATGTACAACTTTTGGTTATCATGAATAATGCCTTAGTGAACATTAGCATATTATTATATGTTCAAGTCCCTATTTTCAATTATTTTGGGTATATACATATGAGTTAAATTGTTGTATAAAGCGTAACTTTTTTTTAGCTTTTTGGTATACTGCCGAACTACTTTTAATTTATTTTTTCTTCTGTTGCTCATGCATTTCACATCATATCTGAGAATCCATCACCAAATCAAAGGTTTACCTTATGTTTTCTTCTAAACATCTTATTGTTTTAGCTCTTATATTTAGGTTATTAATCCATTTTGAGTTAATTTTTGTATGTGGTTTAAGGTAGTCTATACATTTATTTTTTATGTGGAAATTTAGTTATTTCTCCCAGCGAATGGATTTGACACTTTTGTCAAAAATCAGTTCACCATAGATAATTTTAGGGCTGTCAGTTGTATTCCATTTTTCTATGTCTATACATATGCTATGACTACATTGTTTTGATTACTGTAGCTTTCTAATTAGAAACGTATTGGTTTTGAGATTGGAAATTGTGAGTTCTCTGACTTTGTTTTTCTTGTTAAAAATTATCTTGGCTACCCAGGGCCCCTTATAATTCCATGTGACTTTTAGAATCAGGTTTTCATTTCCGCAAAAGTGATGATGAGTTTTTACAGGAATTGTGTTGAATCTGTACATGATTTTGAATGGCATTGTCATCTTAACAACCTGAAATCTTCCAAACCATGAGCATGAAATACTATTTCATTTATTTATGGCTTCTTTAGTAAATTTCAGCAATGTTTTGTAGTTTTCACTATACAAGTCTTACACCTTCTTGGTTAAATTTATTTCTAAGTATTGTATTTTTTTAGTTGCTACCATAAATAGAATTGTTTTCTTAACTTCCTCTTTAGATTGTCTTTGCAGGTGTGAAACACAAACAATTTTTGTGTGTTGAGTTTGTACTCGAAAACTTTACTGAATGTTTATTAGCTATAGCATCTTTCTTGTTGATCATTTATGATGTTCTATCTTTAGGACTATCTCATCTGTAAGTAGACATAGTTTTACTTCTTCCTTTACAATGGATGTCTTTATTTCTGTTTCTTGTTTAATTGTTTGGCTAGAACTTTCACTACAATGTTAAATAGCGCTAGTGAAAGTGGTTATCTTTGTCTAGTTCCTGATGTTAAGAGGAAAGCTTTTTTTCATGAGTGTCTAAATTGTAAGCTGTGGACTCTTCCCTAATGCACTTTTCATGTTGAGGAAACTCTATTCCTTGTTTTCCTCATTATCATAAATGAAAGTTGCGTTTTGTCAAATGCCTCTTCTGCAGCAATTGAGATTATCATGTGTTTTTCCCTTTATTTCATTAATGTGGTAGATTACTTGATTTTCTTATGTTTACCCTCACTAGAATTTCTAAGATAAGTCCCACTTGGCCATGATGTATAATCCTCTTAATATACTGTTAGATATATCTTGCTTGTATTTGTGTGTGCATGTGTGTGTGTCCATATGTGTAGTCTGGTATCTCTATTCTTAGGGGCTGTGGGTCTGTAATTTTTTTCTTGTCATTTCTTTATTTGGCTAATATATTTGGGATAATAATGCTGGCTTATTAGAATACATTAGAAAATATTCCCTCTTTTTTTGAAGAATTTGAGAAGAATTGATGTCAATTCTTCTTTAAATTTTAGGTAGAATTCACTTGTGAAAGTCTCTCTTCGTTCACTTTTTCTGTTTGAAGTTTTTGATGAATGATTCAATCTCTTACTTGTTATAGGTATTTTGAGATTTTCCAATTCTTCTTGAGTCAGTGTAGACAAATTTTACGTTTCTGGAAATTTGTTTATCTGGGTTATCTAATTTGTTAACTTTTGAGTGTTCTTGGTATTCTCTTTTAATTCTTTTTGTTTCTTTGAGGATTGTAAATAATATCTGCACTTTTATTTCTTTTTAGTTATTTCTGTCATCTCCCTTTTTGTCTTTTTCAGTGTGGCTAAAAGATTTGCCAATTTTTCCAATCTCCAATGAGTCAACATTTGTTTTGGTTGATTCTCTCTACTGTTTTTCTATTTTCTCTTTTATTTTAGTCTCCATTGTTTTATTTTTATCTGTATTTTATTTCTAATCTTTATTATGTCCTTTTATTCTGCTAGCTTTTGGCTTAGTTATTCTTTTTCTAATTACTCTAGGTATAAAGTTAGGTTACTGATTGGAGGTCTTTTTTTTTTTTACTGTAGGCATTTAAAGGGAGTGTATTGTTTGTTTAGTTTCCACCATATTTGTGAATCTTCAAGTGTGGACTAGAATGAAATAGCCCCTTTCCCTATTCCAATCATGTCTATTAATGTACTAATGAATTTATTTAACTAGCTATTATTTTGATTTATGAGAATATTAGGAGTTGTATGTGTATATAATATGTATAAGTATTTGTCAAACAAATGTATTTATTGGGCAGTTACTATGTGCTTGCATGGTGCTAGAGCTATAACTACCAGTAAAATAAAATACTCCTGCTCACAGAGCAAACATACTAGTTTTAGATTTATTCCCAAGTATTTATTAAGCACATTTAAGTGCCTAGATCCAAGCAAGTAATAAAGAAGCACTTCTTTACTTTTGTTTGTTGAATGGTAGAGATAAATATAGAGGAGGGCACTCAATCCAGGCTGGGAAGGAGGGAGGCTAGGTTGGTGGGACATGGAGTGGAGGAGGCCTCATAAAGGAAGTGATTAAATGGGTGGTAAAGTTAGCTGGGTAGGAAATAAAGAGTTGAGGCATGCCTTCAGTGACCTGACACTGAGAAAGACAGCAGAAGGTACCTTTCAGAAGTAAGCATGGCACTGAGTGTGTAGCAAACTGCACTCCTTTCATGTGGAAAGGTAGAGTGAAGGCAATACGTTTCTGGCTGTCAGGGTCTGACAGAGACAGAAAGTATGCTTCCCTCACTTTTCTGAGTTGCAAGCAACATGGACCATAATTAAGATTTGAGATTCATACATACAATGCTTTCCAGATGTTCTATAAATGCAAGTTGCTTGAATATTAATAAATCACACGGCCTAAGTTAATCCTAAGGTCACATTGTTTCAGAAAATGCAAATGCCCATTGTGTCGTTGTGAAGAGGATGAAAGGTCACAGTTTTCCAGGAGGTTTGGGCAGCATTTCATGTGAGCCTCTTGGGAAATTCATGCTCAGAAAACACCTGGGAACTGCCATGTCAGCATTCATGTGGCATGAATGCTCCCTGGCTGTTCTAACAGACCTGAGTCTTCCTGAAGATCCTCTCCTCTCCTGAGACCACCCTTGACTTCCAAATGGTGAACAACCCCGGCTCCTTCCTCTGTGTCCACTTCCCAGCAGGTGTGAGTGGGGTGAGCTGGAGTTCAGGGTAAAAAAAATTAACATTGGACACCTGAGAACAGTGGCAAGGCTGTCCTCCCCCATCTCCTTTATATGAACACCATGGCTGTTTCTTTTTCCTTGCCTAGAGAAATTTATCTTCCAAAACATAAATCCACTGGAGCCCAAATATTTAACATTAAAAGCCTTTATTCTTATATACATGAGAGTCAGTTCTAGAAGGGCACGTTTGGAAATAATCTTTAAGAGAGAAAGGGGTGACGCAACTTGGCAAAATACGACTGTACAGTGACTATCTTCCCATAGAAACATCAAGTTTGCAAGAATCCATATAAAAAAGTAATTTTGCAAGGGCTAAGAAATTCAAGAATTCATCTAAGAGATGCAAAGATAGTTCCCAATATGCAAGCCAATAAAAATGATACATCACATAAACAGAATGAAAGATGAAAACAATAGGATTATTTTGATAGATGCAGAAAAATTGATAAAATTTAACATATCAAATTTCCTCAACAAATTGGTATAGAAGAAACATATTTCAACATAATAACAAAAAATTAGGTATAGAAAGAACATAGTTCAACACAATAAAGAACATATATAACAAAATCACAGCTAGCAAATTAATTAAACACCAAATTAGGTGTAGATAGAACATATTTCAACGTAATAAAGAACATATACATATCACCAAATTCAGAGCATCCAAATTGATTTTTAAAAAGAGGTCAAAATTATTCTTGTCTGCAGACATCATAATCTTATATATAGAAACCCCAAGAACCCAACAAAAACTCTATTAGTTCTTCCAGAGTACAGGGGAGTATTTCAACTAATTTGTAATTCTCAGCAATAGAATTTGAGGGTTAATTTTTGCTAATCAGTGTGTGTGTCAGAGGAAGGTTGGTCCAGAGTTCCCATATCTGCCATATTGTAGATATTACTTGGAGAGTGAGCAGTTCCAGCACTAGAATATCTCCTCTTGCCCTGTTATAACCAAACTCACTCCCATGTTGCCTACCATACTTACTCCAGACCTAATAGTTTGCGACTGCTAATTTCTTCTCTATTTTCACAAATTTATCTTTCCAGGAAAATATGGAAAGTTCTGTGATTGACTTTTTTTTTTCTCAGTGTAATTTCTTGAAGATTTTTCCAAGTTGCTTCTGTGTATCAAAATGTATTCCTATTTATTGCTGAGTACTATTTATCTAATTCTTCTTTCAGTACTATCACTTTTTCACTTTCCTAATTTTGCAGCTGTGTTGTTTGGTGCATAAATATTTTACATTATGTCTTCTAGATAGATTGATTATTTTATCATTATATCTTCTTCTTTTAAGTCTCTGGTAATTTTCTTTCCTTTGAAGTCTACATTACATATTCTTAGGTTAGCCACTTCTGCTTTCCTTTGAATAATACTTTAATACTATACCTGAGTTTTCTGATGTGAGCTCCAGAAGAAGGCTTTGCCACATTGACTCTAGGCCAGGGGAACTCTTCACTGTGAGAACGTTAATGTCAACTAGGAAATGAGACGTTTCAGAAGTGTTTCCTTCATGTATTTCTCTTAGAGTTATTTATAGAGAGTAAACTCTTGTGTGTTCTAGAAATCTAGTAAAATTGCAGAATAAAAAAATCCATATACAAAAATCAAGAGTGTTTCTACACACCAAATCACAAATTTTCTGAAAAAAAAAAAAACAAAACAATGTCATTTACAATAACTCCAAAAAAGTAAAACACCTAGAAATAAATTTAACCAAGGAAGTAAAATATTTCTACAATCAAAACTGCAAAATACTGATAAAAGAAATAAACACATATACACAGAAACTTTATGTTTATGGATTAAAAAAACTAATATTGCTAAAATGTTCATACTACTCAAGGCAAACTACAGATCCAATTTTATTCTTACCAAAATACCAATGACGTTCTTCACGGAAATTGAAAAAAATTCTAAAATTTGTACAGAACCACAAATGACCTCAAATAGCCAAACAATCATGAAAAAAAGCTGGTGGCATCACACTAATTGACTTCAAACATATTGCAAAACTTTAATCCCCAAAACAACACAGTAGACACATAGGCCAATGGAACAGAATACAGAGTCCACAAATAAATCCTCACATCTACAGAAAACTGACTTTTGAGCAAAGGTGACATGTACACACAATAAGAAAAAGACAAACTCTCCAATAATTGGTGCTTGAAAAACTGGATATCCACATGCAGAGAAATAAAAGTACACGCTTGCCTTTCACCATATAAAACAATTACCTCAAAATGGGTTAAAGTCTTAAATGTTGGATGTGAAGCTATGAAAGTACTAGAAAAAAACATAGGAAAAAAGCACCATGGCATTTGTCTAGGCAAGGACTTTGTAAATATATCTTCAGAAGCATAGGCAATCAAAGCAAATATAGACAAATGGCATTGCATGCAACTGAGAAGCTTCTGCATGTAAAGGGAAATAAGTAACAGAGCAAAGAGACAACCTTTAGAGTGAGAAAATGTATTTGCAAGTGATACTGCTGATACAGGGCTAATACCCAAAATACATACTGAGCTCAAACAACTCACAAACAACAGCAAGCCCAAAGACCTTAATTTACAAATTAGCCAAAGACCTGGATAGACATTTCTCAAAAGAAGACATGCAAATGGCCAACAGATACATGAGAAAGTGCTCAAAATCACTAGTCTTCAGGAAGATGAACCTCAAGCCAATAAACTTATAAAAAGACTCAATGTGACTGATCATTAGAGAAATGCAAATCAAAACCACAATGAGATACCATCTCACAACAGTCAGAATGGTGATTATTAAAAAATCAAGAAACAACAGATGCTGGAGAGGCTGTGGAGAAATAGGAACACTTTTACACTGTTGGTGGGAATGTAAATTAGTTCAACCATTGTGAAAGACAGTGTGGCAATTCTGCAAAGTTCGAGAAACAGAAATACCATTTGACCCAGCAATCCCATTACCAGGTATATACCCAAAGACATATAAATAATTATATTATAAATATACATGCACAAGTATGATCACTGCAGCAATATTCACAATAGCAAAAACATGGAATCAACCCAAGTGCCCATCAATGACAGACTGGATAAGGAAAATGTGATACATATATACCATGGAATACTATGCAGCCATAAAAAGAAATGGGATCATGTTCTTTGCAGGGACATGTATGCAGCTGGAGGCCATTGTGCTCAGCAAACTAATGCAGAAACAGAAAACCCAATACTGCATATTTTCACTTAGAAATGGGAGCTGAATTGTGAGAACACATGGATACATGAAAAGGCAATAACACAAACTTGGGCATGTCAGAAGGTAGGGGCCTTGGAGGAGGGAGATAATCAAGAAGAACAGCTAATGGATACTGGGTTTAATACATAGGTGATGGGATGGTCTGTGCAGCAAACCACCAAGGCACACCTTTACCTGTGTAGCAAACCTGCATGTCCCGCACATGTATTCTGGAACTTAAAATAAAATAAAATAAAATATCAAATATATGCATCAAATTGTTAACAGTGACTTTGAGGAATATGTTTATGGGAAATTTGAATTGTCTAATTTAATACTCATCTGTGAATTGTTTAAATTTCATACTATGAGAATGTATTACTTATAAAATCAGGAAAAAAACATAAAAAGTTCCCCTTAAGGAGAAAACGAATAATCAAAGAGAATGTACATCAAAACAACAATGTGGTAAAGTGTCACTTCAGGCAGAATGTCTCCCCTCAAAAAATAAAAAGATAACAAGTACTCACAACCATATGGAGAAAAGGGAGCACTTATACACAATTACAGAAAATAGTATAAACCTTTCTCAAAAAAATTAAGAAAAATTGTCATATGATCCAGCAATCCCATTACTGGGTATATTAGCCAATAGAAATAAAATCAGTATGTCCAAGAGATATCCGCACTCCTATGTATATTATGTTAGGTGAAATAAGCCAGGCAGAGAAAGATAAT
The DNA here is from genome assembly GCF_000001405.40 of Homo sapiens. Classification (NCBI taxonomy): domain Eukaryota; kingdom Metazoa; phylum Chordata; class Mammalia; order Primates; family Hominidae; genus Homo; species Homo sapiens. Next base: position 35,864,669 of record NC_000016.10, on the reverse strand, counting down.
TACCACTTGATCCCACTCATATATGCAATTGATAAACTTGTTCTCATGGAAATAGAAAGCAGAATAGTGGTTGCCAGAGGATAGGAAGGGTAGGGTGCAGAGGGATGGAGACAGGTTGGTTAACAGGTACACAACTATAGCCTTGAGGTGAGAGAATTATATGAATGTTTGTTTAAGCCTTTAAATGCAGTGGAAGAGGCAGACTTAATCATTTGTGATGAGTCTACCTTTCCTGGGCCAAAGTTGAGGCCTACTTTAGAAGAGAACTCAGGAGAGCCTGTCCAGAGCCTGGTCAAAGACAGAATCTTCATCAATATGCACATGTATGTATATGGCATGTGGACATGCATACACACGTATGTGGTGGAGGCTGAGCTATGGAGGTTCTGAAAAACTCAAGCCCCAGCTTGCAGGAACAGACTGGGGTAGGTCACTCTTGAGACTCTGTGGTATTGTTGATACTGGAAAACCTAAGAAGGGCTCTGGCCAACAGCAGGACCATTGGATTTATCCCATGGAACATATTGGTGACCTTGAATGTCTTCTCTGCTGTAGTAACTTCACTCCCTCATGACCCATCACATTTATAGCTGCCCCAGTGATAGTTCCTTTGAATCTTATATATTATATTCCTTGGAGTGCTTTGTATTTCTACTCTGGTGTCAAAAGTTTTCAGTCGTCTCCTCCCAAACAACTATCATCCAGATGCACTCCTCTGCCATATCTTTCTGTTGCAGTGAAGGACACCCCGCCATGCAAAAGCTCACACAGGACACCTTGTCCTTATCCTGACTTCCCTCTTCTCAGCACCCAGAGGCATCAGCAAGTCCCATGGTCTCTGCCTGCAGCACAAGTCCTGGGTCCAACCCCATCTCTCCATCTCCACCTCCACTGCTTCCTCAGGTCCAGCCATCACCATCCTCAGCCTCAATAATTGTCAGAGTCTCCCACCCAGTCTCCCTACTTTACCCTGTTTCTCACATGGTAGCCTCTGACCTTTTATATTGAAATTACACTCTATTATGGCAATGGCTCCATGCATCATCAGACCCCTGGTGGCCTTCGCCACCCCCCGCCCCACATTATCTTTTTTATTTTTGTAGTGAGTTAGGCCACTCTGACCTCTGCCTAATCTTCACACTCACCACCCTCATGCTCATTAGCATTGAATTGGTATTCTGAATCTTTTTGTTAACATCTATAAGGCTGGGCATATCTAAAAAGACTTTGTCTACCCTGACATTCTCTAAAGATGGCTTGACCTCTGCAAACTTCTTTTTGGCATTTAGGTGGCATTGCTCCTGCATCTGCAAATCCAGTGTTTCCACAAGCTGCTTTTTATGTCTTTCATAAAGTTGACTTCCCAAGCACTGACTCACCAATAAGCTAATGAGAGATGGACACACCAGTGTCTTGTTTTGGAGATGGCAGAAGGTGAGGTGTGGACTCAGGTCAGGGGGCAGCAGCTCCACCACCATTTTGCCTAGCTTCCCAAAGGTCAGCCCAGGGCCTAGGCCCTCAGAGGATGGCAGCCTCTCCATGGCACTGCAGCCACCACAGGGCTCTGCCCAATAACCATGGATTCTGAAGCTGTAACAAACACCAGAGAATGCTCCAACATTCTGCTTGGAACCCAACCAGCAATTGGCATCTTGGATTTGTCAGTTATATGCTCAGTGATAGGGGGACATTTGTAAGTAAAAGATGTTTACCTCTGTTGCTGTTTAATGATCATTCTTTACCTTTTTTTGTCATTTTATATTATTATAAAATTAAAATGTATTAAAATCTGCACATGTAAAGTGTTTGGCTTTACAGATTTTTAAAACTTTATATCACTTAAAGTATTTAACAAGTCCTATCAATATATAGATCATGTTCATTAACACTTAAAATACTCCCTCTTAACTTTTCAACTAATATTTACCCACCCCACCTCATGCAGACTGTTTTGATTTTTATTAACATACATCTGTCTGGCCAGCTCTCCAACATCCTAGAAGTTAGATAAATCATGTTAGGAAGCAAAAGGGGCTTGCTGTCTGATACACTAGAAGGCAATGCTGTGACACTGGGTTTTTGAGAAAAGAAAAGCTTTATGCTGCAAGGAGGCAAGCTCAAGTCTGTCTCCTCATGCTGCCTTCAAGGCAGTGTTTCTATTAGGAAAAGGTACAGAGGGTGTATTCTGAGATGAGTAGGTTATTAATGCAGGGAAAGGGGAAGTCTGGAAGGTCCTTGGGCATGAGCAGTTATTTCTCCATGCTGACTCATGGGTTGCATGTGCAAATTGGGGGAAGGTAGTATAAAACATACAATGGAAATTTAGGCTGTAACATCATTAGTGTTTTTTTAATTGTTTGGGCAATAAATTTTGTCCCCCTTGTCCTATGTACATTTTTTCATCATGAGGAATTAGGAACAATGTCCACTCTAGCTTCTTCCGTTTGACTAGGGGTAAAGGTCTGAATGTGAGAAATGAAATTGCTTCATATTAAGTTGAAGATATTCACTAACATCTGATTTAACATTCAAAATTTTATAAAATTTACAAAAGTCTGCTGGTTCTAATGTGTGCTGTCAGTCATAATTCTGGTTATTATCTTCAAATGCTGCATATAATAAAAAACACATTTGTTGCCAGTTGAGGACTTTCATCATAATCATGGTTATTCTAAGTTTTTGTAATCAGAGTTACTCTTGAATTCTTCTCTAAAAGCAATTGCAATAATCGATAATTCAAATTACTTTTCATGAAAAGGATTTTGATGAGTGCTCTTAAATACAAGTCTGATAACTTTGGAGATTATACCATTGGACTAGAAAAAACCTTCTAGGACTCTATGGTAAAAAGATTTTACATCACTAGGGCATTGCTTTTGAAAAACAGTTTTGACATAGCATTGGAAGCAGCATTACCAGATTACCAGATATACAACAATGAATATTAATAATAGATAAAATTCCTATTTTACTATGCCCTGGAGCATAGATCAAATTCTGTGTGTGGGTCAAGGAAAATAAATGTGAGAACCAGATGGTACCTCCTTCTTCTCTAAGAGTTTGTTGTAACCAATAAGCTTGTCTTTTTGTTTCTAAATGTCTTTTACCTTCAGAACATATATTGATGTAAACACAACATGATGTGTTAGCTATAATAATATACAAACGCCTCTCTGCTCCACCAATATGTGGTCTAAGGATATTCTGTTATCCAGGATTACTCTGCCTAAAAAGTCTAAAGTTTTTGTTGGTTAGCTAAGGCTTCAGTTGCTTCATTCTCTAAGTTATCTAGAGTGATTGACAGATTTCTAACCATATATTCATAAGGGACTACTCCCCACCATGATGATAGATAACTGCCAAACATAGGCCAAAGTCTGTTTTCTGGTAGGGTTCATCTAGTCCTGAAAAATGAATCTTAGGAACTAGTTCAGTAATGAGTAACACTGGAACTATAAATAGAAATGGGAGTAGCCAGATAACCTAATAGACAAATATCTCTAATGTGCCAGCTGTCAACACATTCCCAAGCCAATGAGTGGTTGACATATTGACAAACAATTGTATATGCAGGAGGTGCATATAAAGTCCCTGACACTTTCTGAAAGTTACGTATTTGGTTTACTGGTAACAGAGACAGGTGTGTTACAGTTTTCTTTCAAAACGTAATTTCTGTGTCTCTGATTCCCCATTTTTACCAAAGAAAAATCATAGTATGATAAATTTGTGTGCAAAATAGTCTTCACACAAAAAGTTCATTTCTTTTACTGCTTCCTCTTTTCCACTTAATATTGGATCAGCAATCCTCATGCAGCTTTTTACCATAGAGTCCTGGAAGGTTTTTCTAGTCCAATGGTATAATTTCCAAAGTTATCAGACTTGAATTTTAGAGCACTCATCAAAATCCTTTTCATGAAAAGTAATTTGAATTATAGATTATTGCAATTGTTTTTGGAGAAGAATTTAAAAGAGTAACTCTGATTACAAAAACTTACAATAGCCACGATTAAATTCTGATGAAAGTCTTCAATTGGCAAGAAATGTGTTATTATATGCAGCATTTGAAGATAATAACCAGAATTATGAATGACAGCATCACACTAGAACCAGCAGACTTTTGTAAATTTTATAAAATCCTTGGAATAGTTAGACTAATAATATATCTATACAAATATAACTTTAGAAAAGATTTAACATAGTTAAAAGTATGACCAATACCACATGGATTTTTATAAATTTTTATCATTTTTGGAAAATTTATATCAATAACATATCCATAAATGTAAGAAGATCAATGTTATTTATGATTCGATAATGCCTTCCATACAGTTTTCCAAATGTCTTACTGAAGATGCCGAAGGTTCAAAACACTTGATCAAAACAAAATCATTGGTCATTTTAAAATAAGTTATTCATTTAGCTAGAGTGATAATCAAAAGACCTCAAAAGCAATACAGAAAGTTTCACCAGTATAAAAACCTTAACACTGTTACTGCCCAGTTTTCACAACCAATCAGAAAAAAAAATAAAGACAACACAGGATTATCTTGATAAAATGTAAAATCTTTATTTTTAGGCCAGTAATCAAAAAGGTAAAGAAAAACCTCCTGTAGTGTGATTACTTCTTTTTGTATAATGTTTATTTAGATAACTTGGAAGCCAAACCTGATAAAAAGGGTATGTGCATTTAATTACACACAAGAAGAATGTGTCCAGGGTCATGTGAGAATGTTGTATTATAGAGAAAGGTGAACAAGAAAACTAGTACCTTGAGCAGGGAGACACATTACTCCTAATGACCATGTGGAAAGTTTCCTGGCAACATGAAACAGTTCATATCAAAAAGCAAAAGTACAAAACAACATTACATTTGAGGAAAATATTGCTTTAAAATAAATATTATAGTGTTATGCCATAACAGGAGAATTAGAACTAGGGGAAAAATGTTACAGGAGCTGATAAAAAAGTTGAAGGAACTTCAAAGTTGAAGGAAAGGGGCATCATCCCAGCCTAGCAAAAAGATACGTCTTTTCAAGGGAAAAAGGAATAGAAGGCAATGATGTCATCTGCAAATCATACATGTATCAAGGTACAGAAAAAGTAGAAATTCTGAGATATAAATCTGAGAATTAAAAAAAAATTTCAGAATTAAAAGTCAATATTTCTTGCAGTCTCATTGAGAGCAAATCAATAAGAAAGCCCTGATTGAATCAAAATTTTTAATTTTGTATTAGTGTATTTTAAACATTACAGCTAATTTTAAGAAAATCATATAAACAAATCTGTTCAATTTCAAACAGTTTTGACTGCAAGGTAAGATTTCCATAAACATTTATAACTTCTTACAATTTTTTATTTTCTTTTCCAAGTTTGTACATCCATTCAGATTTACCTATCATTTGTATTTTCTCAAAAACCATATCCTCACGTCTTCTTGTAACTTTCTTACCAAAAACAAATCCTAATTTTCTTTTACATTTTACATACAGAATTGTTTCTTTTGTATCTAGGTGTTCCAATTCTATATATTAATTAGAATAATAATATTTTTTGAGACAGTCTCCCTTGGCGTGATCTCGGCTCAGTGCAACTTCCACCTCCTGGGTTCAAGTCATTCTCCTACATCAACCTCTCCAGTAGCTGGGATTACAGATGTGCACAACTGCATCTGCCTATTTATTTTTATTTATTTATTTATTTTTAGTAGAGACCAGTATTTGCCATGTTGGCCAGGCTGGTCTTGAACTCCTGACTTCACATGATCCACCTGCCTCGGCCTCTGGAAGTGCTGGGACTACAAGCTTGAGCTACTGCGCCTGACTTAGGATATTAAATCTTAATAATCTTAAATTTTATTGAAAACCTAGGAAGTAAGAAACCTTAAATTGCCTGTATTTTACAGTCAAATATATATATATGTGTGTGTGTGTATGTGTGTGTATATATGTGTATATATGTGCATATATATGCACAAATAAATATATGAGTATTTTACAGATGGGAAACATTTTATAATTTTTAGGAACATATTTTCTAATAAGATCAGTTTTCTCTCCTTTAATACACATATTTTTATTTCAGTAGCTTTTGGAGCACAAGCAGTTTCTGGTTACATGAATGAATTGTATAGTAGTGAAGTCTGAGATTTTAGTGCACCCATTACCTGAGTAGTGTACATTGTACTCAATTGTAGTTTTTATTCCTCACTCTCCTTCCACTCCCTCACCCACTGAGTATCCATTGTCCATTATACCACTCTGTATGCCTTTGCACACCCATAGCTTAGCTCCCACTTATCAGTGAGAACATACAGTATTTGGTTTTCCATTCCTGAGTTACTTCACTTAGAAGAATGGCCTCCAGCTCCATCCACCTTGCTACAAAATACATTATTTTATTCTTTTTTTATGGCTGTGTAGTTGTCCATGGTGTATATGGGACACATTTTCTTTATCCACTCATTGGTTCATGGGCACTTACTTAGGTTGGTTCAATATATTTGCAATTGTGAATTATGCTGTGATAAACATACATGTGCAGGTTTCTTTCTGATATAATGACTTATTTTCCTTTTGATAGATACCCAGTAGTCAGACTGCCAGATCAAAAGCTACATATACCTTTAGTTCTTAGAGAAATCTCCATAATGTTTCCCATAGAGGTTGTTCAAATTTGCATTCCCACCAGCAGTGTGTAAGCATTCCCTTTTGCTATATGCATGCCAACATCTATTGTTTTTTTGACTTTTTAATAATGGCCATTCTGGTTTGGGTAAGATGGTATGTCACTATGGTTTTAATTTGCATTTCCTTGATGATTAGTGATGCTAAGCATTTTTCATATGCTTCTTAGACATTTTGATATCTTTTTTTTTAAAAAAGTGTCTATTCATGTGATTTAACCACTTTTTTTGAGGTAGAGTCTCACTCTGTCACCCAGCCTGGAGTGCAGTGGCACAATCTCAGCTCACTGCAACCTCCACCTCTTGGGTTCAAGCAATTGTCATGCCTCAGCCTTTCAAGTAGCTGAGATTACAGGTGCATGCCACCATGCCCAGCTAATTTCTGTATTTTTAGTAGAGACAGTTTCACCATGTTGGCCAGGCCGGTCTCGAACTCCTGACTTCAAGCAATACACCCACCTCTGCTTCCCAAAGTGCTGGGATTACAGGTATGGGCCACTGCACCTGCCACATTTGCCCACTTTTTAATGGAATTATTTGTTTTTCTCCTGCTGATTTGAGTTCCTCGTAGATTCTGGGTATTAGTCTTTTGTCAGATATATAATTTGCAAATATTTTCTGCCATTCTGTTGGTTGTCTGTTTACTCTGATGCTTATTTCTTTTCCTGTGTGGAAGCTCTTTAGTTTAGCTGGGTCCCATTTATTTGTTTTGTTTTTGTTGCATTTGCTTTTGGAGCTATTTGGGTCTGGGAACTGAACCTAGCATTTGGGCCTCTGTGCTATGTCTGTCCCACAGACTATGGCCAAGCAATGGATGAAAGGAGTATGCAGAGACAGGTATTTTACCTGACAGCATGGCTAGGGGATTGCACTGCTCAGCACCGCTGATGAGAGCACAGCAGCCGATGAGAGTGCAGCCCCCTTAAGCTGGCCCTGCTCACATTTATTTAGAACAGATTTAATGACAAAGGCTTGGAGCAAACACAATTTGTGGGTAATAAACATTGTCGACCCTCCGAGTGGAGAGCAGTCCTGTGTGCGAATGATCAAAAGTTGGCTTCTGGAGACAGGAGTAAACAAATTTATCTAGATAAGTTCCTTTATATTCCCTTGTTATCTACCCTTTGTTCTCAGTCTCTGAATAAGAGACTGAGCTTTTACAAAACCTCCTAGCCTTCCAAGAAGGCTTGCATCTTTCCCTATAACTTTTTCTTATAACTCTTCCTACCACACTAACTGAACTCCTATATCTCCCCCTTTTCTGTGTTTTGCATCAGGTTTTGTTGATTGAAGAGTACAAATGTATACAGCAACAGGTTTGTCTGGCTTAGCTGTCATTGCTCATATTCTGGCTTTGAATCTTAGAATTAGTAAATAACATAAGACAAACATGAGTATAATTAGTAATATTATTTTCCAAAAAAGGAGTAACCCCCCAGGGGTGGGAGTCTATCCAGGAGACATGTTCTCACACATCTTTCCATATGGCTGTTTGTTGGGTGTGTAGATCTATGGTGTTTAGGAACTCTAGAATTTTAGTTTTAAGTTGTTTTATGTCCACTGTTAAATTACCATGTAAAGTTCCACAGAGGTGTTGCTTCACCTCATCCCAACTGTGTATTGATTTATTCCAAGGTAGAGAGGTGACACAGATATGCTTATGCTCCCCGTCAGAGTTTAATTGCTGTCTGAAAGCCAGTGCATCTTGCTGCCCACCTACATATTCCAAGGCAGCCTCAAGGGCTTGCAGGCATGCAAGAATCTTTTGATTTATACCCTGCTGTAAGAGAAGTTCATTGGATACATTTTTTTGGCCAAGTTATCTACAAAGCTAGCTGTTTGTGCTGATTCAGTAATGGTAGCCACAACAACACTAGCAGTTGCTAAGATGACTGAAAATGACTATGGCTGAGACTATAAAGGTTGTTAAGTTTGCCTTCTTCTGGGAACAATGGGTTATGGGAAACAACAGTTTGCATTAGGTCCCTTAATTGAGCCTGTGAAACTGAGGCTCCACTAGCTTTAAGCAGTTGTTTCAATACTTTTATATACTGTTGCTTTTGAGCTGATAACTTGTCCCATGATGAAATGATAGCCTGAACAATTTCTTGAACTTGGAAATCCCGAGTGGGCAACAATGCCTTACTGAATGCAAAGTCTCTTCACCTTCATTTTTCAGGGTTTCTTAATGATCTGTTGCAGGGTTCCTCACATGTGGCATCCCCCACATGCGGCACCCCCTGCTGAGTCTGTCCTGCAAACTCTGGGTGAGCAACGGATGAAAGGAGTATGCAGACACAGGTATTTTACCTGACAGTGTGGCTATGGGATTGCACCGCTCAGAACCACCGACCAGAGTGCAGCAGCCAATGAGAGTGCAGCCCCCATGAGCAGGCCCTGCTTGCATTTATTTAGTACAGATTTAATGACAAAGGCTTGGAGCAAAAACAACTTGTGGGTAATAAACATTGTCACTCCCCAAGTAGAGAACAGTCCTGCGTGTGAATGACCAAAAGTTGGTTTCTGGAGACAGGAGTAAACAAATTCATCTAGATAAGTTCCTTTACATTCCCTTGTTATCTGCCCTTTGCTCTCAGTCTCCAGATAAGAAAATTTGCCTGCCTTATCCAAATTCTCTTTCAAAGCTTTTGCAAAACCTCCCAGCCTTCCAAGAAGGTTTGCATCTTTCCTTATAACTTTTTCTTACAACTTTTTCCACAACCCTGACTGAACTTCTACACCCCTGATGCTGGGTTCCCAGCTTCCTCCCTCTTCAACCTCACTGTCTTCCTTGCCTCTCCATCCACTCTTGGTGTTTTTTCTCTGAAGATCTGCTCAAATCGTTAATATTTTTGTGTCTCCTGGTGGAAGTGGCATTTCCTGGCTTCATCTAGTTGGTCATCTTGTCTACACTCTATATTGTTTAATTATTTTATTATAACAAAGCCAAAAATATTTTCAATTAATTTTATATTTTTCAAATGCAGAAATTATATCTATATGTCTTTTAAAATGTTTACATTTATTTAACATACTTTCTAATTTACTTTCTTCAATTGGTCATAATTGCCTTCTAATAATCATGAAGCTTTATATATTTTTCTCCTTTAATTTTTAGTAGAAAACTAAAAATTGTATGTATTTTATGTACATGATATTTTCAAATATGTACATACGTACAGTTGAGAATCCGACTGAAATTTTGTTTACTTTGACTATTATTTCCCCATCCCCTGGTAACCACTATACTACTCTGTTCCCATGAGTTCAACATTTTTAGATTCCACATATAAGTGAAATCATGCAGCATTTGTCTTTCTGTGCCTAGCTTATTTCACTTAACCAATGTTAAGATAGCAGTGTTTGGTTTATAAGGTTTAGGAAAAAAGCTGTCTTCATAACAAAAGTGCAAGATAAAGCAGCAAGTGCTGATATAGAAGATGCAGCCAGTTATCCAGAAGATAATTGATGAAAGTGGCTACACTAAATAACAGATTTTTATTGTAGACAAAACAGCCTTAAATTTGAAAAAGATGCCATCCAGGACTTTCATAGCTAGAAGTGAGAAGTCAATGCCTGACTACAATGCTTCAAGGAGCAGGCTACCTCTCTTGTTAGGGACTAATGCAGCTGGTGACTTTAAGTTGAAGCCAACACTTAATTACCATTTTGAAAATCCTATGGCCCTTGAGAATTATGCTAAACTTACTCTGCCTGGGCTCTATAAATTAAACAAAGCCTGTAACCAGATGTCAGCGCATCAGGTTACAATAACAATTACAACGATTTTAAGCCCACTCTTGAGACCTACCACTCAGAAATAAAGTTGTCTTTAAAAATACTACTTCTCCAATAAGAACACATGGATGCAGGAAGGGGAACATCACACTCTGGGGACTGTTGTGGGGTGGGGGCAGGGGGGAGGGATAGCATTAGGAGATATACCTAATGCTAAATGACGAGTTAATGGGTGCAGCACACCAGCATGGCACATGTATACATATGTAACTAACCTGCACATTGTGCACATGTACCCTAAAACTTAAAGTATAATAATAATAATAAAAAAATTACTTCTCATCAATAATGCCCCTTGTCATCCAAGAGCACTGATGGAGATGTACATCCTTCAGTTTAATGTTGTTTTCATGCCTGCTAAAACAACATCGACTCTGCAGTCTATGAATAAAAAAGTAATTTTGACTTTCAAGTCTCATTAATAATAAAATACTTTTTGTAAGGCTACAATAGACATAAATAGCAATTCTTCCGATGGAGGTGGGCAAATTAAATGGAAAACATCTGGAAAGAATTCACCATTCTATGTACCATTAAGAACATTGATGATTCATGAGAGGAGGTCAATAGGAGTTTGGAAGCAGTTGCTTTTAGTCCTTATGAATGAGTTTTAGGGGCTCAATGCTTTAGTGGAGGCAGACATGGCAGAACTAGCAAGACACCTATAATTAGGAAGAAACCCTGAACATGTGACTACATTGCTGCAATCTCATGATAAAACTTAAAGAGATTACTTCTTATGGATGGGCAAAAAAAGTGGTTTCTTGAGATGGAATCTACTTCTAGTAAAGACACTATGATTATTTTTAAAATGAAAACAAAAGATTTATAATATTATGTAAACGTAATAAAGCAGTGGCAGGGTTTGGGAGTACTGACTTCAGTTTTAAAAGATGTTCTACTGTGGGTCAAATGCTATCAAAGAGAATCACATGCTGAAGGAAAATCTTTGTGAAGAAACAGTCGATTTTGTGGCACACTGTATTGCTATTTTATTTTGAGAAATTGCCAAAGCTGCTCCATCCCTGAGCAACCACCACACTGATCAATCAGTAGCCATCAGCACTGAGGCAGGACCCGCCACCAGCAAAAGTATTACAACATACTCAAAACTGAGATGACTGTTTGCATTTTAGTAATACAGTATTTTTAAATTAAAGTACATACCATATTTTTAGGCATAATCAAAGGGCACACTTCATAGACTGCATTATATTATAAACATACTTCCCAGTGCATATTTATGTAACTGGCATTATTGTGGTATTTGCTTTATGGTGGTGGTCTAGAACCAAACCTGAAATATCTCTGAGATTTACTTGTAATTAAATGCAAAATTAATAGCTATAAAAGTCCTAGAAGTAAGCATACATAAGGCCTATTTGATTATGGGTTAAATTTTTAGACAAAACAAAGGCACAATTCATGAAAGAAAAATTTGATAAGAAGTACCTTATTACAAAAAAAAATACTGCTTACAAAATAATACAATACACAGATTGAAAGAAAATTCTAACATAGCACAAATCTGAAAAAAAAGAAATTGTGTATATAACATACAAGGAACTCATAAAATCCAGCAAGAAAAAAAAGCCGAATTCTTAAAAATGAGTGACTAACTGAGCAAACACCTTATCAAATAATATATGGAGAAGGCAAATAAGCACACAGAAATGCTCAACAGTCTTTGTCATTGAGAAAAAAAAATTAACACAGGGATATGATACTAATACACACTTATTGGATGACAATTTTTTAAATAACAAGAACAATTACTGGCAAGCACGTGGAACAACTGTACCTCTCATTCATTGCTGGTGGGAATTCATAAGGGTACAATCATTTGGGAAGATATTTTTATACTTTTACCATATACTCCACCAATTTCACTCCCAGGTATCTAGCCAACTGATTTAAAAACTTTTCTATACAGAAATGATGATCAAAATATTTCCAGTAGTTTTATTTTTAATGGCAGAAAAGTTGAACAAACCAATATATCTTTCACTACTTTTATGGATAAACAAATTATGGTCCATTCCTTCAATGTCATTTTAGTACCCAATTCAAGGAATAGGTCATTAAGCCAAAAAAAGTACACAGATTAATCTTGAATATACAGAAGTCTCTTCTAAATGACAGTTTAAAATGTATCACACCTTATCATTCTGTTAATATGACATCCTGGAATAGACAAAACAGCAGAGATGTTGAAGAGATCAGTGATTGCCGTTGGAACATGGGTTGGTGGGTTAATAGATAAAGCATCCTATACAGGGCTTTAATGGTTTATTGTTGCCACTGTGCATTTTTCAAAATGCAGAGAATTTTACAGCAAAAATAGTACATTTTATGTATGCAATTTAAGAGAAATAATTTAGAAGGTAAGGTTGTTTCAACATGAATAAGGAATGTCACAAAAATCATTTAACTGTATTACAAATGTATGAAACAAACATTACAGGTAGCGGGGGAAAGATTTATTTTTGGAAATAAGTGGAATTTATAAGTCTAAATGCAAAGAGAACTGGGCATAAACAATGGACATTAATGATGAAATTCTTTCTGTGGGGTACTAGTTAACAATTCAAAGACCAGTGTACCTATACACTGGAAGTGTACAATTATACCCAGATTAAGAAAAACTCTTAAAACAGGAAATACAAAAGGAAATATTTACCAGGAGGAGGAAGCCTCTTGGAGAATACCAGATAATTCATACTGGGAGAATTATTCCATAAAATAAACTTGAAGAAAATTTTACTCATAGAGAAACATTTGTAGAACATGCAAGAATTTACTCTTTATAAATAATCCTATGAGAAATACATGAAGGGAAGACTTCCATAATGTCTCATTACCTACTCAACATGAACATTCTCACAATGAGGAGATTCCCAGGCTTACAGTCAATGTGGAAAAGCCTTCTTTTAGAGCTCACATTAGAAAACTCAGGTATATTATTTAAGTATTAATCGAAGGAAAGCAGGAGTGGCTAATCTAAGATCATATAATGTAGACTTCAAAGCAAACAAAATTACCAGAAACTTAAAAGTATATGATATAATGATAAAATAATCAATCTCTCTAGAAGATATAATAATCTGTTTATGCACCAAACAACATAGCTGCAAAATTAGGAAAGAAATAAAGTGACCATACTGAAAGGAGAATTGGATAAATACTACTCAGCAATAAAAAGGAATACATATTGATACACAAAAACAACTTGGAAAAATCTTCAAGGAGTTATGCTGAACGGGAAGTAAAGTCAATCACAAAATTTTATATACTTCGCTGGAAAGATAAAATTATGAAAATAGAGAAGAACTTGTTGGCAAAATATTCAGAGTGGAGTGAGTATGGTGGCAGCAGGGGAGTGGGCTTGCTTATAACAGGACAAGAGGAGATATTCTAGTGCTAGAACTGCTCAGTATCTGAGTAATATCTGCAAGATGGCAAAGGTGGTATCTCTGTACCATTGTCCCTCTGCCAAACACACTGATTAACAAGAATTTACCCTCAAATTTTATTGCTGAGAAATTTTAAATTAATTGAAATACTTCTGCACCCTGGGAGAACACAAAGCCAGCCTGACCAAAGCCACAGTGGGTATTTGAGACACCCTTTCTTTGGATACACTACCCCTTGTGTAGTGTCATGTGATCAGAAAAAGACCCCTTAGCTCCCAAATTCACTCAGGTGAGGGAGGGGATTGACTCACAAATTCATATTTCAAACTTTTAAGGGAGCTCTCGTCAGAACTTGCTTTTTTTTCTTGCCAGGGTAGGAACGCTGAATGTTCTGGCACAATCTATCTTGCTGCAAGGGAACAGAAGCTATAGAGTACACCAGCATATGACATTGATTCTGCCCCTCTGCTCAGCCCAGAGTGATTGGATAAAAAATATTAGCTATCAACATCCCTATGAGGAGGAAAAACCTTGATTCATGCATCTAGCACCCCAAGTTTTCTGGTGCTTTTCAAAGAAATAGCATGTGTCTCATCAGTCCTAAAGCACTGATGGATCTGGCACCATCTCACTGTCCAGGAAAGAACAGAGATGGTGGCTTGGGCTAGTAGACACAGTTCATCTTTCCCTCTTCCCAGCGGAGTCTGAGAATGATAAATTGCAACTCTGAGCATCCCTCTGGGAAAGGAAAGAGTTGATTCATGCATGCAAGTGCCCCAGATTTTCTAGGGCTGCCCAATGAACCACATTTGTCTCATAAGTCTTTAAACTCTGATGGACCTGGCACAGACAAGCTACCTGAAGGAGAAAGGAGAGGGCAACTTGGGCTAGTAGCTAACATATCTTTCCCCCTCCCACCAAGTATAGAGCAAAAGTATGAAAATCACAGCTTTTTGTGCCTCTTTGATGATAGAGTTGTTAGTAGCCCTCAGAGTTTCTGACATCATGATTGGTGGGAGTCTACCATATAAGGCCAATTTACAAAGACTCGGAGAGGTGCCTGCCTTGTCTAATGTACAGACACCAACACAAAGTCAATGAAAATAAAGGACTAGGCAAAGATGTTCCGAAAAAAGAATAAGGTAAATGTCCAGAAACACTCTTGATGAAATGGAGTTATATGAGAGAATTACAAATAACTTCCATAAAGATGCCCACTGAGTTCAACAGTACAATACATGAACAAGGTGAAAGTTTTAAAAAGCAATATAAAATATTTTAAAAGTACCAAAGAGAAATAGTGAGATAGAAGAACACAATAACTGAATTTAAAGATTCACTAGATGATTTTAACAGCAAACTAGATCAAGCAGAAGAGGGCTCAGCATACTTGAAGACAGGTCATTGGAAATAATTTGTCACAGCAGCAAAAAGAAAAAAACATAAGAGCATGAAGAAGGTTTAAGAGTACAGCGAAACATTATCAAGTACACCAAAATACACAGTATACATACCTTAGAAGGAGAAGAATAACAAAAGAAAACCAGAAAGCTTGTTTATAGAAATAATGTCTGAAAACTTCCCAAATCTTGGGAAAGTAATGGATATCGACATCCAAGAAGTCCAAGGATCTCAATAAGATGAACCAAAAAAACCACACTGAGACTCTCTATAATCAAATTGTCAAAAGTCAAAAACAAAGAGAGAATCTTAAAAACAGCAAGAGAAATATGGCTTACCACATATAAGGGAAGGATCATACAACTACAAGTAGATTTTTCAGCAGAAAGCTTGTACATCAGAAAGCCCTGAGATGATACCTTTAAGTGCTGAAAGAAAAAAAAACCTGCTAATAAAAAATATCATACCTAGAAAAACTCTGCCTCGGAAGTTGAGGAGAGATAAAAATTATCCGAGATAAATAAAAGCTGAAGGAATTTGTCACCTCTAGACCTTACTTACAAAAAATACTAAGGAGTTATTCAAGTTGAAACAACCAAGTAAAATACTCTAAATAACATGAGAAATCATGAAACTTATTGGTAAAAGTAAATATATAGACAAAGGTAGAATACTGTATTACTGTAATGTTGGAGGGTACATCACTTTGGATTGTAGTATTAAAGTTAAACATAAAATTATTAAAATAACAACCACTAAAATATTTTCAAGAATAAACAATTGAATAAATATCTCAACAAACTGGATAACCCAAAAGAGATGAAAAAATTCCCAAAAATGTACAATCCATAAAGCAAATCAAGAGGAAATAGAATGTTTGCACAGCCTTCTGACAAGTATACAGACAGAATCAATAATCAAAAGTCTCAGAGAAATAAAAAAAGTCCAGGACCAGGTGACTTCACCAGTGAACCCTACCAAATATTAAAAGATGAATTAACACCAATCTTTCTCAAAGTTTTCAAAGAAATTGTATAGCAGGAAGCATTTCAAAACTAATTTTGAGGTCAGCATTACCCTGATACTGAAGCCAAAGGCACCGCAAGAAAAGAACACTACAGGTCAATATCCCTGAAGAACATAGAGGCAAAAATTCCTAAAAAAATGCCACAATACCAAATATAAGAAACATATTAAAAATATTACATTATAACAAAGTGGGAATGCTAAGATGAAAGAATGATTCAGCATATAAAATTCAATACTTGTTACACATAACATTAAAGGAATAGAGAATAGAAAGGACATGATCATCTCAACAGATGCAGAAAAAGCATTTGATAAAATTCAACATCCTTTCATGATAAAAACTCTCAAAAACTAGCAACAGAGAAAATTACCTCAACATATTAAAGACCATAAATGAATAATTTGCATATCATAGTCAGTGGTAAAAAGTAAAATTTTTTCTCTAATATTAGAAATAAGGCAAGGTTGCCAATCTCAACTTTTATTCAACAATGCACATAACACTTTTATTCAACATAGATTTAGCCAGAGCAATTAGGCAACAGAAAGAAAGGCAGATGATTCCTGTGCCCCTCCTAGCTACTATCTCCATAAGTAACCTCTAAACTGACTTTGAACAGCATAGATCACCTGTACGTTCAACCGTTTTCTACTTTATGTACATGAAGTAAGAAAGCATGAATTTTTGTATATCGATGTTGAATAGTTTATGTTGTTTGAAACTTACCTGTATTTCTGCATACTGTTTTGGGTTATTCATTAGCATTGGTGATAGAATTCCATCATGTGGCTATCAAACTATCAAACAATTAGTTCAAATATTCCACTGCAAATGTACATGTGAGTGGTTTTCCTTTGGGGATACTAGGAAGAGTAGTGGTGTGTAAAAGCATGTAAAATATAGAATGTGATTTAAGGATGTAAGAAGTATTTTTCTTGGGGTGTATACTTAGTAATCAAACTGATGAAACGTGTTTACATTTGTTAGGCTTTAGAAGATACTGCCAAACACTCTTCCAAAATGTTTGCACAGAAATTTACACTCAGGCCATGCTCAGTGGCCCACACCTGTAATCTCAGCACTTAGGGAGGATGAGGAGGCCATCGGTAGTTCACAACCAGCCTGGCCAACATGATGAAACATTATCTCTATTAAAAGTAAAGAAACTAGCTGGGTGTCGTGGCAGCTGCCTGTAATCCAAGCTGCTCGGGAGAATAAGTCAGGAGAATCATATAAACCTGGGAAGCCAAGACTGCAGTGAGCCAAGATAGAGCCATTGCACTCCATCCTAGGTGACAGAGCAGGACTCTGCCTCAAAAAACAAACAAAAAAATACATTCAGAAGCACTGTATATGATTCTTGGTTTGTCCACATTATTTATAACCTTTGATATTTTCCCTTGTTTTTATTTTAACCTTTTGGTTAGTATGTGGTTATACTAAGTATTGACTTTATTTGCATCTCCTTGGATACTAAGAAAGTTGAACATTTTTTACCTGTTTATTGTTCATTGCATAGCCGCTTCCTTGAAGTGTCAGTGGGTTTATTTTGCTCATTTTTCTTTTGTGTTTCTATCTATTCTTTATTAGTTAGTAGGAGTTATTTATCTATCCTGGATATGAGATCTTTCTTGGCCATTTTATGTATGTATATATTCACGTATGTAAATAAGTATCTACCTATCTATCATCATTGTCATAACCATCAACACTATGTAGGTGTCTTTGATAAGAACCTATTCATATGAATGTAATCTAATTGGACATTTCTTTATTTCCAGTTAGAGCCTTTTATTGTTTAAATTTTTTCCTATTATAAAAACAGAGAGATTTTTTCCTTTGTTTTCTTCTAAGAATTATCTTATTGTGATAAAATGTACATACCATAAAATTTAATATTTTAAGTGTATCATTAAGGATATTAGGTACATTCAATGTGGTACAATTAACACTACTTACCATTTCCAGAACTTTTCATTATCCCTAACAGAAACTCTGTATATATTAAAAGATAATTTCCAATTCAGCCCCTTCAGCCCCTGTAGCCTCTGTTCTACTTTCTGTCTGTATGCATTTACCACTCTAAATACCTCACGTAAATAAAACCATCCAATATTTGTTCTTTGGCATCTGAGATTTTTCACATAGCATAATGTCTTCAAGGTTCATCTATGTCATAACATGTATCAGAATTTTATTCCTTTTTGATGCTGAATAATATTTCATTGAATGTATTTACCATATTTTTATTTATTTTTTCATCTGTTAGTAGACATTTGGGTTTATTTCCACCTTTGGCTATTGTGAATAATGCTTTTATAGTCAGTGGTGTAAAAGTGCCTGAGTTCCTGCTCTCAATTCTTTTGGGTATATACCTAGAGTGGAATTGCTGGGTCATATAGTAATTCTATGTTACACTTTTGAGGAACCACCAAACTATATTCCACAGCCAGTGCACCATTTGCATTATCACAAGCAATGCACTATGGCTACAGTTTCTTCACATTCTAGGCAAGGGATTATTTATCATTAAAAAAATTTTAATGTAGCCATCCTAATACTATGAAGTGGTATCTCATTGTGGTTTTGATGTGAATTTCTCTAATGGCCAGTGGTGTTGATCATTTATTAATGTGCTTATTTTGGTCATTTGTATATCTTATTTAAAGAAATGTCTATTTAAGTTTCTCTACCTTTTCCTTAATTGGCCTTTTCAATTCTTTTAGTTGAGTTTTAGGAATTTTCTAATAGACTGTCTATTAATCCGTTATCAGGTACATAATTTGCAAATCTTTTATTTCATTCAGTGGGTGATCTTTTAATCCTGTTTATCGTGTCCTTTGAAACACAAAAGTTTTAGATGTTGATAAAGAATAACATCTGATTTTTTCTTTTTTACCTGGTTTTGGTATCATATTTAATAAATCATCACCAAATGCAATATCCTAAGGTTTTTAATTATGTTTTCTTATGAGAGGTTTATAGTTTTAACTCAAATATAGGTCTTTGATGCATTTTGATTTAATTTTTGTATGTTGTATTACAAAAATAATCTTTATTCTTTTTCATGTGAATTTGCTTTTCTAACATCATTTGTTGAAAAGACTCTTCTTTTCCTATTGAACAGTTTTGGCACCATTTCAAAAATCAATTGACCATATATACAAGGCTTTATTTCTGGGCTTTCTATCCTATTCCATTTGTCTATATGTCTATCCTGATGCCAGTGCCCTTCTGTTTTGATTTTCATAGCTTTGTAAATTGTTTTTCTTTCTTTCTAAAATTAGGAATTGTGAGTGCTTTTTGTCCTTTGTTCTCTTTCTGCCTCTTACTCCTCAGCAACCCCACAGCACAAAACACGGTTAATCTTGGTCTCAAAAATCTTCAATGGACCTTTTTCATCAAAGAATTGACTATTTTTGCATTTAAGAGGAAAGATGCATGCTGCTGTAATTTAGTAGATTGTGGAGGTTTTGCTTTGTTTCACAACATGTAGCATCTCCTGTTCCTGACTGTCTTTCAAAAATATTTGTATGTCAAACAGCCTTTGAAGATTGCAGCTAATTAGTTGACCAATATAAAAAGATAATGCCCTCTATGAAGCAAAGGTTGGGCAGATTAGCTTGTAAGCCACTTTAGTAATAGGATTTTCTTAACCCTGAGAGTCCTCAGCTGTGACACAAATGTACTGAATGTGCAGTGTCCACTGGAGCCTTTTTACATTCCCTGAAGTACCAGGAGTTGACAAGAAAAAGGAATACAAACATTGAGCTCTATTCCCAGTTATGCAATGAATAAAAGGGTATTTTATGTGATATGTAGATGTCTCATGCTTTCTGCCAGCATTCATGAAATGAGAAGGTTAGTATGTTGGCTTAAGGATTGAGTAAAATCTAAGAAACTTCATATTTATTGACAGTTTTGGAAATGAGGTTGGGATGCTAAGAGAAAAATGACTTTCTGGAAAAGAAATGGATACAGATCTTTGCAGGCCTGGTAAAGGAATATGAGAAGGCTCCCCAGGACCAGTAGCACATTCTCTCAGGCAAGTGGTGCACAGGGTGGGAATAAAAGCCCCATCTCATTCTATCTGTTAAATTAGACTTATGTGTGTGTGACGTAGGATTGAAACAAGGAGCCTGAGTGCTTTTCTTATTGTTCATTTTTCTCCTGCTAGGAAAAAGGTAAAATAGTCTCCAAAGCTGATCCTGAGCCTTTGGTGAATCTAACGCACTGAAAGTTGTTGATGTGGTTGAGCACTAAGCAGCCAAGAGGTTGCTAGAAAGTAAATGGAAATACGCCTTGTTAGTGCCTTGCTTACCTGCATAGAGGTGTCCGCTTTCGCAGCTCTCCTTAATTCCTCCCTCCCTCCCTCTGTATCTAACTTTGTTAAACTTAAAGATTAAGCTAAATATAAACGGGTATTTGAGACAGGGAAATAATGCAAACATTTATAGTTCTATTTGATGTGTGTCCCCAATTAAGCACTCTGTGTATTCCCCTGGGATGCACAAGTTGTTGTAGATGCAGAAGACTGTAGGATCTAGAGTGCTTCCAAGCAAGCAGAATGAACTAAGTTCCTGATCCTGGGTACTCTTCAAATGCTGCACTGTACAAAGGAGAGAAGGCAGCACAGACCTGAGAGAAAAAAACAATGACCACCCAAGCCGTCTCCCCCATGCTAGCCTCTTCTAGACTCTTGTGTCCCCATGCCCTTGCCTAGGGGATGGTGCAATCCTATGTCAGCCCCTGACTCAGACAAATGTTAACTACCATGGTCTATTTTTCCATAGAAGAAGTTAATCATGGAATGAATTGGGCTATATTAAGAGTCATTCGTGACTCTGTATAATAAATTACAAATTTGTTTGGGGGACATATGAACATAAGTTTTGATGAGCATTATATGGTAATAATGGTTCTTGTATAATAAAAGCACATATTCAATGAATTCTAAGAACAACCTCTATAGTGTTTATTTTATTCTTAGGTCATCCTAGCAAACTCGGCAAAAGTGAAGCCAGGTTCTTCTGCTTTGACTGATGGTCAAAAGAGGCACAGAGTGTGTGAGTCACTAGGCAGTGGGGAGTGGAGAGGAGCCAGTGTGTGCTGTAGTTCACTGACATAACTGTCTTCCTTCTCTCATTGTCACCCTACAAAGTTCAGCAGAGTGTGGTTTTTACACCCTGTGACCCAAGGGATTGGGAGTTATTTGAGGACCCAGCTTGGCTGCATCTTGGGTAAGCACAATTAAGTATCTGGTATGTACAGAAAAAAGTGTATTTAGCTGTTTATTAAGGACACATTTGGTGTCAAGCACTGCAGTGAGCAGAAGTTTACAGTCTCAAGTTGATTTCTGCTTGGGAACAACTCAAAGATGAATCAACTCATTATCCCCATTTTACACATGAGAAAACTGCCACTTAGAATAAATAAATATGAAAGACTTCATGGCTGCTAAGTGGAAAACTGGTATCTCAAAGGCAGGCCATCTTATCCTGTACTTCAACTGAACTGGGCAGCCTCTTACCAGCTGTCTGTGTAAAGGCCAGAGGCATAAGAAAGTGGCATTTGAGCCTTTGATGAACAGGTAAAAATCTCAAAAGTTGGTGCTCAAGGTGAAGGGGTTAGATAACTGCACAACTTGATAAGATACCACCTTTTAATTCAATGCGTCCCATGAAAATGTTCATAAGACTTACATATGTTTTGAGATCATCACTTGGCACAGCATTTATGTAGAAAATATTTTAAAAGGCAGGTATTTAGCCACTGATAACTCTATGTAGCTCTATAAAATATATGTGTTCATTAGGTAGATGGTGTTTCATCTAAGAATGAGATGGATAATTGTGTTTGTAGTAAAATATATTTATAAATAACCCCAATCATGAATATTTAATTACTAACAAAATGAACATATGTCTGTGGCAAGGATGTATATATACACGCACACACATACACACATATACTTTATATAATATATAACATGTAATTCTACATCTACAATATACATTTTATTACAATGTTACAGAACTTTCTGTGGCCATTGTGGGCTTCATTGCCCACCAGCTCCAAGGTGTTGCCCATCAGGTACTCAAAAGTTGCAGCAAGAAAAACAGGTGTGGATGAGCTCAGGCAGTGGGCACAGCCGATCTCCCACAGGAGGTGTCCACATGGTTCATGGGAACTGCGACTCTGCTCTTGCGAAGAGGGGGCAAGCCTGCTACCTATGTCTATGAGAGCTCCAACATTTCTTTTTCTTAGTCGTGGGTTTTGGTGAATGTTATGATTTGGATGTGGGCTGTCTCCAACAAAACTCATGTTGAAATTCGATTCTCTATGGAACAGTGTTGGGAGGTAGGATCTAGTAGGAGATTTGAGGTCATGGGTGTGGACTCCTCATAAAGAGATTGATGCTCTCCTGCATTGTAACTTCTTGCTCTCATTTTCTGCAAGAGTGGGTTGTTAAAAGGCATGTGGATTCCTTGGTTTCTCTCTTTCTCTCTCAGTTCCCCTTTTGCCATGTGATCTCTTTTGCACACACCTGCTTTCTTTCCACTTTTCACCTTGAGTGGAAACAGCATGAGGTCCTCCAGAAGTTAAGCAGGTGTAAGGGTCGTACATCTTGTAATTCTTAGGCATCAGATCCGTGAGCTAAGTAAACCTCTTTCCTTTATAATTTTTTAAGTCTTGCCTTCTGTTATAGTGTCACAAAAAGGACTAAGACAGTGAACTTTGCTCCATTCGACCCAACTTGACTCTCCACCTGGCCTGGGCATCTCAAGACACCAGTGTTCAGTCCCACCCACTGTGTACCTCCAAGCCAGCCCCTCACTGGTTAGGGAGCAGCCTTTGTGAGCCATGATCAGGTCTGGGATAAAAACCTGGTCACCTTAATGATAAAAACCCATGATAAAAACCTGGTCACCTTAATGATGGTACCCTCTTCTTGAGAAAACTGTAACTTTCCACTTTACTTTTTATAGTAGAGAGAAATGTGTTCTTCAGTGATAAACCTGGCCCTGTCTAAAGGACACCATTCCAGGTTATATGATTCTAGCCTGTAATGTCATTGAGTGCTTTTACAACCCTTTGTAAGTTTTAGGTCACCGTCAGAGGTGCATGCTGTCTTATCCAGTCAATTGTCTCTCCTTTAACCCTGTAATGAAATGAGTTTTCCCTGCATTTAAATATTCACCTCAATATTGATGATTAATACTCTTCTGGCTGATTGTGCTTTTTAAAAAAACTGATTAGCATATCTGTTGGTCCTTCATAAGTTAAATATTATTTTACCATATGTTATTTTCTTTATGAGTGTCATGACTTTTTTTAAAATATTTTCTTTTAGGCATATTTTACATTGCACAAATATACCTAATTGATTCATCTACCAGGACCAGATACATTTCTATGACAGAGTTTCACTAAATGCATAGTTGAAGCCTGAGTGTAACTATTTTTCGCTTTCCTAGGTGACCCTAAAGCACCCATAGAACTTTGATGACTCTGCGTTCTTTATTTTAACTTTTCATTCTGTTAATTTAGTGTTTGTGTGTGTGTGTGTGTGTGTGTGTTTGCTATGTTTACACTTACAGCTGAAAAGATGGTCTGCATTTTGGCAAAAATTATTTCAAGTTTATTTTTAAAAATTATTTTTATTGAGGTTAAAATCATATAACATAAAATTAAATATGTTGATCATGTTAAAGTTTACCATTTAGTGTATTCACAATTGTCAATAATAGGTAACTCCAGAAAAGTATAATCACTCCCAAAATAAACCCCACACCCATTAAGCAGTCACTTCCTACTCCCGTCCCCCAACCTGGCAAAAAAATTCATTTTCTGTTTCGATGAATTTGCCTGCTCTGGGTATTTTATACAAATGGATTCATAAAGTATCTGGCCTTTTATATCTGGCTTTTTTCATTAAGCATGTTTTCAATCTCCATCCATGTTGTAGCCCATATGGGTACTTCGTTACTTTTTATACCTAAATACTATTCCATTGCATAAATATATCACATTTGTTTATCTGTTCCTCTTCTGATGGCCATTTTGGATTGTTTCCACTTTTGGCTGTAACAAACAATGTTTCTGTGAGCATTTATATACAAGTTTTCTTGTGGCTGTATGTTTTTCATTTGTATTGGGCATATCCTTTGGAGTGGAATTGCTGGATTATATGGTAACTCTATGGTTACTTTTGGAGGACTTGCCAAAATGTTCCCAAATGGCTGCATCATTTTACCATCTCACCAGCACTGTATTAGTCTCCAATCATCTCCACGTCCTCACCCACATTTATCTGTCTTCTTAACTGTACCCATACTACTAGCTGTGAAGTGATATCTCATTGTGGTTTTTATTTGTATTTTCCTAATGAATAAGGATGGTAAACACGACTTTACATGCTTCTTGGCCATTTGTGTTGGTTATTTCCATATCCTGATGTGTTGCCATCATGAAGACTGAAAATGTTCTCTGATAATTTTTCCTAAGTTAATTTGCTTAGAAACAATGTATAGGGGTATAAAATGATTTCCTCAGCGAATGTACTTGTCTCATTTAATTTGTAATGATATGATTTGGTCCTTCTACTGGTATATCCTATATTTCTGAAATAAACAATTTGCTATTATTTGTATACTTAGATACTACTTTTTTATCCAAGTCCATAATTTATATTGGCCTAGTTTTAAATTTTGCATGTATTGAGTGTAA
Source organism: Homo sapiens (assembly GCF_000001405.40). Classification (NCBI taxonomy): domain Eukaryota; kingdom Metazoa; phylum Chordata; class Mammalia; order Primates; family Hominidae; genus Homo; species Homo sapiens. The sequence goes on along the minus strand of NC_000016.10, from coordinate 35,839,615 downwards.
TAGCCATATAAAATCTTTCCATGGCTTTTCCCATTTTCCTGATTAGTAAAATTGATTTGAATGATGAATACCTAAACTTTTAAAATGAAAAAGGAATCATTTAAAGTAATAAGAACTTTTGATTAATGGTTCCAAATATTTAAAATTTGTTTACTGAGTTTTCATTTATTCTTACTTTGGTTTTGGTAGTCTATAATTTACAGAAATTATTATTTTCTCTAGATTTTTAATTTATTCTTATGTTTGTTTTCTTTAATCTCTAGGGGTTTTTAAAACTCTACCAATAAGTTTAAAGCTGCTTATTCTTATTAAGTTTATCTTTTCACATTTTTCTCAACATTGCACTAGCTCTGTGAATTTTATCATTAATTTTATTTATTTTTGTATAACAATTATTATTCTAAATTTTATTACCTAAATTATAATTTATTATTACATATTACCTGTATTTAATCTATACTTCATTTAATAGACTTCAAAGATTGACCTCTAGCACATATTGTCAGGCACATTTTATTCTAGAACTTGAAATTGTAGTTATCTTATTTGCCTGAATACTATTGAATCAAATACAGTTTACAACTTTGATATGGAGAATCTCGATTGTGATTTATTAAACAAAGTAATTATTCATTAGGAATGTCCCAGTTTTAATTTTTACTACTTAAGAAATTTAATACAGCATTTCAAAAATATTATTACTTAATGGGTAGTAAGGCTATACTCTATAATTCAAATGTTTTAATTTGTTATATAAAATATGTTATAACTTGTTAAAACTTTTTTGAGATCAAATTATTGACCCATATGTGCTGAAGAATGTAATATAAAGCCCAGGTTCAATATATATCAGTTTAGTTCAAGTCTGTTTGTTGTCTTGTTCAATTTTTGAATTATCAATAATTTTTATCTGTGTTATGTAATGATAATCACAAATGGTCTGTCAAATATTTTTTACTATGGTCAAATTCATACCTAGTTTATATTAATTTTTTCAAAAATTCTCCTTTGAATATTAGAAACCAAAAATTATTTTCTCCCCTTGCCGAAAAATGGTGCCATGACCTTCATCCCCAGATGCCTTGTGCTGTGCTCCTCAGTGGGCAGTGAACAGCTCCAACATAGATTCATCTCCCAAAGTGCAGAATACGCAGTCCATCCTGCCTCTGCCTTTCAGAAAAAGATTAATGGAGATTATCGCTTGATACAAAATATTCTACCTTTTATGTTTTCCAAAAACCAGTTGGTGTGCTTTATAATTATCACATGTTAACTGAAAATTGAATTATAATTAAAACCTCTCAGTGTGATCCTTATGCTCACTTTGTTCTAGCTATGTCATTTTCTTCATTTTTACCTAAAATACTTTTAAAATATGCTACTCTCCTCCCATAACACTCACATATTTCAAATGACAAACTTTCTTTGTAAAACTGAAAGTAAATGGGAAACCTGATCTTTGACATGCTACAGTGTCTGATACATTATTTTTCCTCAAGCTCATCCCAAGCCACTTGTTGCAGTTACTGCTTTTCCTTCTCACCTTTGTGACAAGACAACATTCAGTTTTTTCCATTTTATTAAATTTTCTAAAGAATGTTTAGCTTCTAAACTTAAGTGAAATATTAAATAATGAAAGCATTTAAAAAACATTTCATCTGTACTTGTCATTCTTACTGTATAAAAAAGTATGTGAGAGCAGAGACTCAGTCTGTGGTCCACACACTTTTTTTGACTGCTTATAGTGATAGTTTAAACTTTTACAAGAAAATAATAAATGACTGCATAGTATAAAAATTAAGACAATCCACATAAAATTTAGAGTCACCTGATCAGCTTAAGGAATTGTGTATTCCTTCCAGAGCAGGCAGAGCTGAGCCTGGACATGCTGCGGTCATGGCTCATGAGAATAAAGAAGCTAACTGTAGCAAAACAAGTAGTAATCAGGGCAGAGGTGTTCACCAGCCACCAACTGGAGTTAGGTAAAATGGTAAAAAATAACGATGAGATGGAGAAGACAATATGAAACAATAGAAAGGTGCTCACTAGGACAAGAATGCTTTGAGTGACTCTGGACTCAGGGGAGGGGCTGGGAGAGAGGTTGGTCCTATAAGTTTGTTCGACCCGCTGCTTGTGCCTCTACAGGATCAACACCATGGAGTCACTGACTAGCCCAGGCCATGAGGCAAAAACACAAAACATCATAGGATGATGACAATGTTATATGCAGTAATCCTGTAAATTTGTTAACTACTGCAGAGCAGTATCCCACATCCTTTTTCTTTGTGTTGTTTTTGCCATTTCACTTCCCAGTCATATTTATAGAAAAAGTAATATTTACCGGTATATTCACAATCCAGCACAGTATTTTGGAGGACCCAATGTACTTGGGAGCTTGTAGTTTCAACTCTGCCAATCTCAAGTTCATGGGGCTAATCATCATGGCCTAGAAGATACTCAGTAGTCAGGTTGTACCAATGGACACACCCCTGACCACTCTGTGAACATAAACAAGTTTGCACCCAATATCACTGAGGAAATATTTCACCCCCAACGTGGCCACAGTCTGCTGTGGGACTCTTTTAGGGAGGGTGATCAAGAAGTTGGCTACAGTTAGGTACTTGAGAATAAAATCCGTGGACCTTAATGTGCACCTGGTGAAATAAAGGAAACTATAATGGTAAAGAAGAAAGAAATTCCCCAGAAACCCAAGTAGGGTCTGAGATAAGAAGGTTATTCCTATTGCCAAATCCCTGGGAGCCATTTGCTATTTTCCAATGACTGGAATCTCATTCAGAGTGAGCGACTCCTGCATGGACACATGAGGACCGTTTTGTCATGGCAGCTGAAATCCAGTATTGTCCACTTACCATTGTTTTTAACCCATAACTTATTAAATTCCACTTTTCTTTTGCTAACAGTTTTGCTGTCATACACACAGACATACGTACATGCACATCCATGGTAACAGTTCTACATTAGTGTTTTAAATATAACTTTCATGACACTTCTAAGAAGCACTTTATTATTCTCATTTTGCAGGTGAGGAACTCTTAGGCACAAGAAGGCTGACTGAGTATTTCTATAGTAATTTCTTTGAAGGGGCAGCATCAGAAGTTGACAATGTACTTAACCTCTATGCTGTCTCAACATCAGACATATTCAGTTATTTAAATAATCCACATATTTTCATAATAATTTTGTATATCTTGTTAGATTTTAAAATAATTGTAGCTTTTCTTAGATTTTTCCGTTGTGACTGTGATAATTTTTTATTTGCAATTGTTTATTTTTAAGGCAAATATCAACTATAGTGTCAGAGATCCAAGTAAAAATATTAGACTGTAGTCTAATCTTAAAATAATAATTATATGAGACAAATGGAATTTATTGAATGCACAAATGAATTTATGTTGGAATTGAAGGAGACTCTTTTGCATCTTAACCAAGAAACAGCACACAATAAAACGACTGCTAAACAAAGGGACATGGAACAGGAGTAGGAGATAAAATATTGCAGAGTAGAAGTTAAATTATCATTTATACATTAAGAAAATTTGTATTTGTGAATGCAAAAGTATCAAATGTAATTATTCCTATGACATAATTGTTAAACATTTTAAAACCTAAGTTTATTAGGCAGAAGAAAAACTGACTTTATGAAGAAAAACAGTCTCATTATAATGAATAGACAACAGATGTCACCACACAGTTACAGTCTCCACTAAGTGTATAATATGCCCATAGTTGGTAAAAACCTATTATAAAAAATACTATTTCTGAACACAATAAGATAATTTAGTTCACGACATCTTATACATTATTACAGACTTCTGGGTATAAAACACCTCTACTAATCCTGGAAATGTTGTCGCTGACTCTTGTAGTGAAGATACAATACTAGCAGATTAATTTCCAAATTATACTACATAATATCAATAAAATAATTTTATGACTTTGTAAAACTCAGCAATGATGAGCAATGAGGATTATATTAATTAAATTAGAAGTAGTTAGGGGCTGGTTTAGGGTCCTGACCTTCATTTCTTCTCCACAAATGTATTCCATGACTCAGTAATTATTGCCTCCTTCCTGCATGCCTTTTGCACTGAGTTAGTTTCTAGCCCCGAAGAATTCATATTCCAGATAAGACCTATTGCTCCATCTCCCAATGCACTTTCTTTACTTGCAGACTGTGCCTCCTAGACAAAAATTATAAAGTATTCACTGAACAGCTTCTTGCTGCAAGGATGAAGAGCTCAGGTGATGCTTAGGACACCCATTGAGTATGTGGGAGGGAGGCAGCCAGGTCTGGGATATGGGATTGTGATCCTGTGACCTCATCTCCCCACACAATTGCAATTATCATTTCACTTATAGCAACAATGACAGTAAGCACTAGTAACAATGACAGTTGAAGATATTTTTGGAAAATAAAACTTTGTATCAATTACTAATTGCCAAATACAATTAGAACTTTCTAGTGAGTGTCTCCAAAGAAATGGGTGTCCCGGAGAGGCTTGTATCTTCCATGATCTATGGAGGAAAAAAAAAGGGCTCATGTGGAGGGAGCAGGAAATGCAGAGTCAGAGATATGAGGGACTTGCAGCAGTGTAGCTGTGTCTTACTGGATTCTGTGCTACCCTGAGCCTTTCCCCTAGTGAAAATCTACTTTGATGTTAATTCTCAGATTCGTGGGCCTAACTATTATTTAATTCTATATAGATAAATGGTATAATACAAAGAACTTGAGAAAGGTGTGTCAGCAGGTTACAATGGAAATAAGGATTTCAAGGTAAATTTTGGTATGAAAAGTATATTGGGACTTTTTTCAATGTAGAGCAAATTAACATGCAAATGTACATTACATATATTCCAGGAATATATATATTTTATCAACATTTACCCATATAGATATAAAGATTCTGAAGCATACAATATTTATATTTATTAGACTGTCTTACACACAGCAAAGCACCAAGTTTATGTAATCCAGATAGAAATTCTAGCAATGACTAATGGATAAACTGATGCTACTTAGGTTTTTCAAGAGTTTTAAAGTAGTGGTCAATATTTGCAATAGATTTTATGAAGGGCGAATAAGGGTAATAGGAGAACTTTGCCTTAATTGGCCATAGAAATATTACAGACATATAAAAGACATATGAATATAAATTTTAAAAAATTAGCTATTATAAACCATTGTTCCAGCATATTAAAGTATTATAAAATGATCAAGTGCCCTTTATACCACAAATGTAAGTAAGACTCAGCATTTGGAAATCCAGTCATACCATTAATCACATTAATAGAATCAATTATGGAAAACAGAAAAAAAAAACTAGGTTGCAATCCTAGTTTATGACAAAACAGACTTTAAACCAAAAAAGATAAAAAGTGACAAAAAAGGGCATTACAAAATGGTAAAAGGTTCAATTCAACAAGAAGACCTAGTTATCCTAAATATATATGAGCCCAACACAGGAGCACCCAGATTTGTAAAGCAAGTTCTTAGAGACCTTCAAAGAGACTTAGACTTCCGCACAATCATAGTGGGATACTTTAACACCACACTGACAATATTAAATAGATCATCAAGACAGAAAGTTAACAAAGATATTTGGGACCATAAGGCCATAACTCAGCGCTGGATCAAGTGGACCTGAAAGACAACTACAGAACTCTCCACCAAAAAAAAAAAGAAAAAGAAAAAAAACAAAACAAAACAAAAAAACAGAAAATACATTGTTCTCATTACCACATGGCACTTACTTTAAAATTGATCACATAATCGGAAGTAAAACACTCATTAGCAGGTGCAAAAGAACTGAAATCATAATAGTCTCTCAGACCACAGCACAATCAAATTAGAACCCAAGATTAAGAAATTCACTCAAAATCATGAAACTACATGGGAACTGAACAACCTGCTCCTGCATGGCTTTAGGGTAAATAGTGAAATTAAGGCAGAAATTAAGCAGTTCTTTGAAACTAATGAGCACAAAGATATAATGTACCAGATTCTCTGGGACACAGCTACAGCAATGTTAAGAAGGAAATTTATATCATTAAATGCCCACATCAAAAAGCTAGAAGGATCTCAAGTTAACAACCTAATGCCACAACTGAAAAAACTAGAGACCAAGAACAAACAAACCCCAAAGCTAGCAGAAGACAAAAAAATAACCAAGCTCAGAGCCAATGTGAAGGAGATATAGATGCAAAAATTCTTTCAAAAAATCAATGAGCTGTTTCAATCAAGGAGCTGCTTCTTTTTGAAAACATTAATAAATTGCATAGACTTCTAGGTAGACTAATAAGTAAGGAAAGAGAGAAGAATCAAATAGACACAATCAGAAATGATAAGGAGGATATCACCACTGACCCCACAAAAATACGAACAACCATCAGAGAATACTATAAACCCCTCTATGCATATCAACTAGATAATTTAAAAATGGACAAATTCCTGGACACATACACCCTTCTAAGGCTGAACCAGGAAGAAACTGAATCTTTAAATAGACCAATAACAATTTCTGAAATTGAGACAGCAGTAAATAGCCTCCCAACCAAAAAAAAGCCCAGAACCAGAAGGATTTAACACTAAATTTTACCAGAGTTTCAAAGACGAGCTGGTGCTATTCCTACTGAAATTATTCCAAACAATTTAAAAGGAGGGGCTCCTCCCTAACTTGTTCTATGAGGCCAGCATCACTCTGATATCAAAACCTGTCATAGATACAATAAAAAAAAGAAAACTTCAGGCCAGTATCCTTGATAAACATTGATGCAAAAAAGCAGAGTGCCTCTCCTTCTCCAAAGGAACACAGTTCCTCAACAGCAACGGAACAAAGCTGGATGGAGAATGACTTTAATGAGCTGAGAGAAGAAGGCTTCAGACGATCAAATTACTCCGAGCTACGGGAGGACATTCAAACCAAAGGCAAAGAAGTTGAAAACTTTGAAAAAAATGTAGACAAATTTATAACTAGAATAACCAATACAGAGAAGTGCTTAAAGGAGCTGATGGAGCTGAAAACCAAGGCTTGAGAACGACGTGAAGAAGGCAGAAGCCTCAGGAGCCGATGCGGTCAACTGGAAGAAAGGGTATCAGTGATGGAAGATCAAATGAATGAAATGAAGTGAGAAGGGAAGTTTAGAGAAAAAAGAATAAAAAGAAACGAGCAAAGCCTCCAAGAAATATGGGACTATGTGAAAAGACCAAATCTACGTCTGATTGGTGTACCTGAAAGTGACGGGGAGAATGGAACCAAGTTGGAAAACACTCTGCAGGATATTATCCAGGAGAACTTCCCCAATCTAGCAAGGCAGGCCAACATTCAGATTCAGGAAATACAGAGAACGCCACAAAGATAATCCTCGAGAAGAGCAACTCCAAGACACATAATTGTCAGATTCACCAAAGTTGAAATGAAGGAAAAAATGTTAAGGGCAGCCAGAGAGAAAGGTTGGGTTACCCTCAAAGGGAAGCCCATCAGACTAACAGCGGAACTCTCAGCAGAAACTCTATAAGCCAGGAGAGAGTGGGGGCCAATATTCAACATTCTTAAAGAAAAGAATTTTCAACCCAGAATTTCATATCCAGCCAAACTAAGCTTCATAAGTGAAGGAGAAATAAAATACTTTACAGACAAGCAAATGCTGAGAGATTTTGTCACCACCAGGCCTGCCCTAAAAGAGCTCCTGAAAGAAGCGCTAAACATGGAAAGGAACAACCGGTACCAGCCACTGCAAAATCATGCCAAAATATAAAGACCATTGAGACTAGGAAGAAACTGCATCAACCAATGAGCAAAATAACCAGCTAACATCATAATGACAGGATCAACTTCACACATAACAATATTAACGTTAAATGTGAATGGGCTAAATGCTCCAATTAAAAGACACAGACCGGCAAAGTGGATAAAGAGTCAAGACCCATCAGTGTGCTGTATTCAGGAAACCCATCTCACGTGCAGAGACACACATAGGCTCAAAATAAAGGGATGGAGGAAGATCTACCAAGAAAATGGAAAACAAAAAAAGGCAGGGTTGTAATCCTAGTCTCTGATAAAACAGACTTTAAACCAACAAAGATGAAAAGAGACAAAGAAGGTCATTACATAATGGAAAAGGCATCCGTTCAACAAGAAGAGCTAACTATCCTAAATATATATGCACCCAATACATAAGCACCCAGATTCATAAAGCAAGTCCTGAGTGACCTACAAAGAGACTTAGACTCCCACACATTAATAATGGGAGACTTTAACACCCCACTGTCAACATTAGACAGATCAAGGAGACAGAAAGTCAACAAGGATACCCAGGAATTGAACTCAGCTCTGCACCAAGCGGACCTAATAGACATCTACAGAACTCTCCACCCCAAATCAACAGAATATGCATTTCTTTCAGCACCACACCACACCTATTCCAAAATTGACCACATAGTTGGAAGTAAAGCTCTCCTCAGCAAATGTAAAAGAACAGAGATTATAACAAACTATCTCTCAGACCACAGTGCAATCAAACTAGAACTCAAGATTAAGAATCTCACTCAAAACCGCTCAACTACATGGAAACTGAACAACCTGCTCCTGAATGACTACTGGGTACATAATGAAATGAAGGCAGAAATAAAGATGTTCTTTGAAACTAATGAGAACAAAGACACAACATACCAGAATCTCTGGGATGCATTCAAAGCAGTGTGTAGAGGGAAATTTATAGCACTACATGCCCACAAGAGAAAGCAGGAAAGATCCAAAATTGACACCGAACATCACAATTAAAAGAACTAGAAAAACAAGAGCCAACACATTCAAAAGCTAGCAGAAGGCAAGAAGTAACTAAAATCAGAGCAGAATTGAAGGAAATAGAGACACAAAAAACCCTTCAAAAAATTAATTAATCCAGGAGCTGGTTTTTTGAAAGGATCAACAAAATTGATAGACCACTAGCAAGACTAATAAAGAAAAAAAGAGAGAAGAATCAAATAGACGCAACAAAAAATGATAAAGGGGATATCACCACCGATCCCACAGAAATACAAACTACCATAAGAGAATACTACAAACACCTCTACACAAATAAACTAGAAAATCTAGAAGAAATGGATAAATTCCTCGACACATACACTCTCCCAAGACTAAACCAGGAAGAAGTTGAATCTCTGAATAGACCAATAACAGGATCTGAAATTGTGGCAATAATCAATAGCTTACCAACCAAAAAGAGTACAGAACCAGATGGATTCACAGCCGAATTCTACCAGAGGTACAAGGAGGAACTGGTACCATTTCTTCTGAAACTATTCCAATCAATAGAAAAAGAGGGAATCCTCCCTAACTCATTTTATGAGGCCAGCATCATCCTGATACCAAAGCCGGGCAGAGACACAACAAAAAAAGAGAATTTTAGACCAATATCCTTGATGAACATTGATGCAAAAATCCTCAATAAAATACTGGCAAAGTGAATCCAGCAGCACATCAAAAAGCTTATCCACCATGATCAAGTGGACTTCATCCCTGGGATGCAAGGCTGGTTCAATATACGCAAATCAATAAATGTAATCCAGCATATAAACAGAACCAAAGACAAAAACCACATGATTATTTCAATAGATGCAGAAAAGGCCTTTGACAAAATTCAACAATGCTTCATGCTAAAAACTCTCAATAAATTAGGTACTGATGGGACGTATCTCAAAATAATAAGAGCTATCTATGACAAACCCACAGCCAATATCGTACTGAATGGGCAAAAACTGGAAGCATTCCCTTTGAAAACGGGCACAAGAGAGTGATGCCCTCTCTTACCACTCCTATTCAACATAGTGTTGGAAGTTCTGGCCAGGGCAATTAGGCCGGAGAAGGAAATAAAGGGCATTCAATTAGGAAAAGAGGAAGTCAAATTGTCCCTGTTTGCAGATGACATGACTGTGTATCTAGAAAACCCCATTGTCTCAGCCCAAAATCTCCTTAAGCTGATAAGCAACTTCGGCAAAGTCTCAGGATACAAAATCAATGAACAAAAATCACAAGCATTCTTATACACCAACAACAGACAAACAGAGAGCCAAATCATGAGTGAACTCCCATTCACAATTGCTTCAAAGAGAATAAAATACCTAGGAATCCAACTTACAAGGGATGTGAAGGACCTCTTCAAGGAGAACTACAAACCACTGCTCAAGGAAATAAAAGAGGATACAAACAAATGGAAGAACATTCCATGCTCATGGGTAGGAAGAATCAATATCTTGAAAATGGCCATACTGCCCAAGGTAATTTACAGATTCAATGCCATCCCCATCAAGCTACCAATGACTTTCTTCACAGAATTGGAAAAAACTACTTTAAAGTTCATATGGAACCAAAAAAGAGCCCGCATCACCAAGTCAATCCTAAGCCTAAAGAACAAAGCTGGAGGCATCACACTACCTGACTTCAAACTATACTACAAGGCTACAGTAACCAAAACAGCATGGTACTGGTACCAAAACAGAGATATAGATCAATGGAACAGAACAGAGCCCTCAGAAATAACGCTGCATATCTACAACTATCTGATCTTTGACAAACCTGAGAAAAACAAGCAATGGGGAAAGGATTCCCTATTTAATAAATGGTGCTGGGAAAACTGGCTAGCCATATGTAGAAAGCTGAAACTGGATCCCTTCCTTACACCTTATACAAAAATCAATTCAAGATGGATTAAAGACTTAAATGTTCGACCTAAAACCATAAAAACCCTAGAAGAAAACCTAGGCTTTACCATTCAGAACATAGGCATGGGCAAGGACTTCATGTCTAAACCATCAAAAGCAATGGCAACCAAAGCGAAAATTGACAAATGGGGTCTAATTAAACTAAAGAGCTTCTGCACAGCAAAAGAAACTACTATCAGAGTGAACAGGCAACCTACAAAATGGGAGAAAATTTTCACAACCTACTCATCTGACAAAGGGCTAATATCCAGAATCTACAATGAACTCAAACAAATTTACAAGAAAAAAACAAACAACCCCATCAAAAAGTGGGCGAAGGACATGAACAGACACTTCTCAAAGGAAGACATTTATGTAGCCAAAAAACACATGAAAAAATGCTCACCATCACTGGCCATCAGAGAAATACAAATCAAAACCACAATGAGATACCATCTCACACCAGTTAGAATGGCAATCATTAAAAAGTCAGGAAACAACAGGTGCTGGAGAGGATGTGGAGAAATAGGAACACTTTTACCCCATTGGTGGGATTGTAAACTAGTTCAACTCTTGTGGAAGTCAGTGTGGTGATTCCTCAGGGATCTAAAACTAGAAATACCATTTGACCCAGCCATCTCATTACTGGGTATATACCCAAAGGACTATAAATCATGCTGCTATAAAGACACATGCACATGTATGTTTATTGCAGCATTATTCACAATAGCAAAGACTTGGAACCAACCCAAATGTCCAACAATGATAGACTGGATTAAGAAAATGTGGCACATATACACCATGGAATACTATGCAGCCATAAAAAATGATGAGTTCATGTCATTTGTAGGGACATGGATGAAATTGGAAATCATCATTCTCAGTAAACCATCGCAAGAACAAAAAACCAAACACCGCATATTCTCACTCATAGGTGGGAACTGAACAATGAGAACACATGGACACAGGAAGGGGAACATCACACTCTGGGGACTGTTGTGGGTTGGGGGGAGGGGGGAGGGATAGCTATGGGAGATATACCTAATGTTAGATGACGAGTTAGTGGATGCAGCGCACCAGCATGGCACATGTATACATATGTAACTAACCTGCACATTGTGCACATGTACCCTAAAACTTAAAGTATAATAATAATAAATGAAAAAAAAAAAGAAAAAAAAAGTGCTGGCAAATCGAATCCAGAAGCACTTCAAAAAGCTTATCCACCATGATCAAGTAGGGTTCATCCCTGGATTGTGATGTTGGTTCAACATGAACCAATCAGTAAATGTGATTCATCACATAAACAGAACTAAAGACAGAAACCATATGATTCTCTCAATAGATATAGAAAAGGCCTTCAATAACATTCAACATCCTTTCATGTTAATAACTCTCAACAAACTAGGTACTGAAGGAATATACTAATATGGTTTGGCTGTGTCCCTACCCAAATCTCATCTTGAATTGTAATTCTGGCAATTCCCACTTGTCGTGGGAGGAACCCAATGGAAGGTGATTCAAATATAGAGGCAGGTCTTTCCTGCGCTGTTCTTGTAATAGTGAATGAGTCTCATGAGATCTGATGATTTGAAAAACAGGAATTTCCTTGCACAAGCTCTCTTTTTGCCTGCCACTATCCACATAAAATGTGATTTGCACTTCCTTGCCTTCTACTGTGACTGTGAAGCCTCCCCAGCCACGTGGAACTGTAAGTCTGTTAAAACTCTTTCTTTTATAAATTGCCCAGTCTCGGGTATGTCTTTATCAGCAGGGTGAAAACAGACTAATACACACACCTCAAAATAATAAGAGCCATCTATGACAAACCCACAGCCAATATCATACTGAATGGGCAAAATGTGAAAGCATTCCCCTTGAAAAGAGGCACAAGACAGCTGAGCGCGGTGGCTCATGCCAGTAATCCCAGCACTTTGGGAGGCCGAGGCGGGTGGATCATGAGGTCCGGTGATTGAGACGATCCTGGCTAACACGGTGAAACCCCGTCTCTACTAAAAATACAAAAAATTAGCCGGGCTCAGTGGTGGGCTCCTGTAGTCCCAGCTACTCCGGAGGCTGAGGCAGGAGAATGGCATGAACCTGGGAGGCAGAGCTTGCAGTGAGCCGAGTTCATGCCACTGCAGTCCAGCCTGGGTGACAGAGCGAGACTCTGTCTCAAAAGCAAACAAACAAAAGAGGCACAGGACAAGAATGCCCTCTCTCACCACTCCTATTCAACATAGTAATGGAAGCTCTATGTCCAGGGCAATAAGGCAAGTGAAAGAAAAAAAGGTATTCAAATAGGAAGAGAGGAAGTTCAACTGTCTTTATTTGCAGATGACATAATCCTATATCCAGAAAACACCATTATCTCAGCCTGAAAGTTTCTTAAGCTAATAAACAACTTCAGCAAAGTCTCAGGATACAAAATCAATGTACAAAAATCGCTATCATTCTTATACACTGGTAACAGGCAAGAAAAGAACCAAACCATAAATGAACTCTCATTCACAATTGCCACAAAAAGTATAAAATTCCTAGGAGTACAGCTAACCAGAGAGGTGAAAGATGTCTACAATGAGGACTCCAAAACACTACTCAAAGAAATTAGAGAGGACACAAACAAATGCAAAAATATTTTATGCTCATTTATAGAAAGAATGAGTATTGGGTGAACAGGCAACCTACAGAATGGGGGAAAATTTTTGCCATCTACTCATCTGACAAAGGGCTAATATCCAGAATCTACAATGAACTCAAACAAATTTACAAGAAAAAAACAAACAACCCCATCAAAAAGTGGGCGAAGGATATGAACAGACACTTCTCAAAAGAAGACATTTTTGCAGCTAAAAGACACATGAAAAAATGCTCATGATCACTGGTCATCAGAGAAAGGCAAATCAAAACCACAGTGAGATACCATCTCATACCAGTTAGAATGGCAATCATTAAAAAGTCAGGAAACAACAGGTGCTGGAGAGGATGTGGAGAAATAGGAACACTTTTACACTGTTGTTGGGACTGTAAACTAGTTCAACCATTGTGGAAGTCAGTGTAGCCATTCCTCAGGGATCTAGAACTAGAAATACCATTTGACCCAGCCATCCCATTATTGGGTATATACCCAAATGTCCAACAATGATAGACTGGATGAAGAAAATGTGGCACATATACACCATGGAATACTATGCAGCCATAAAAAATGATGAGTTCATGTCCTTTGTAGGGACGTGGATGAAGCTGGAAACCATCATTCTCAGTAAACTATCGCAAGGACAAAAAACCAAACACTGCATGTTCTCACTCATAGGTGGGAATTGAACAATGAGAACACATGGATACAGGAAGGGGAACATCACACAGCAGAGCCTGTTGTGGGGTGTGGGGGAGAGGGGAGGGATAGCATTTGGAGATATACCTAATGTTAAATGATGAGTTACTGGGTACAGTACACCAACATGGCACATGTATACATATGTAACTAACCTGCACATTGCACACATGTACCCTAAAACTTAAAGTATAATAAAAAAAAAGAAAAAAAAAGAATGAGTATCATCAAAATGGTCATAGTGCCCAAAGCAGTTTATAAATTCAATGCTATTTCCATTAAACTGCCATTGACATTTTTCACAGAACCAGAAAAAAAATTTAAAATTCATAGGAAACCAAAAAGGAGCCTGAATAGCCAAGACAATCTTAAGGAAAAAAAAAAAAAGCTGGAGGCATCATGCTACTGAACTTCAAACTATACTACATGGCTGCAGTAACCAAAACAGCATGATACTGGTATAAGAACAGACACATAGACCAATGGAAGAGAAAAGAGAAACCAGAAATAAGATGGCACACCTACAACCATCTGATTTTCAACAAACATGACAAAAAACAAGCAATGAGCAAATAATTTCCTATTTAATAAATAGTCTTCGTGGAACTGGCTAGCCATATGCAGAATATTGAAACTGAACACCTTCCTTACACCACATACAAAAATTAAGTCAGGATGGATTAAAGACTTAAATGTAAAACTCAAAACTATAAAAACCCTAGAAGAAGACCTAGGCAATACCATTTAGAACCTAAGTGTGGGCAAAGATTTTGTCACAAAGATGTCAAAAGCAATTGCAATAAAAACAAAAATTGACAAATGGAATCTAATTAAACTAAAGAGCTTCTGCACAGCAAAAGAAACTATCAACAGAATAAACAGGCAATCTACAGAATGGGAGAACATTTTTGCACTCTTTCTATCTGACAATGGTCTAATATCCAGCATGTATAAGGATCTTAAGTTTACAAGGAATAAACAAACAACCCATTTTAAAAAAGGGTAAAAGACATGAACAGACACTTCTAAAAATAAGACATACATGTAGTCCAACAAACACATGAAAAAAACCTCAACATTGATGATCACTAGAGAAATGCAAATCAAAACCACAAGGAGATACCATCTCACACCAGTCAGAATAGCAATTATTTAAAAGTAAAAAATAACAGATGTTGGCAAGGTTGTGGAGAAAAAGGAATGCTTTTATACTGTTGGTTGGAATATAAATTAGTTCAATCATTGTTGAAGACAATGTGGCGATTCCTCAAAGACCTAGGCACAGAAATACCATTTGATACAGCAATCCCATTACTGGGTATATACCCAAAGAAATATAACTTTTTCTAACATAAAGATACATGCATGTGTATGTTCATTGCAGCACTATTCACAATAACAAAGATATGGAATCAACCAAAATGCCCATCAATGATAAATTGGATAAAGAAAATATAGTAGATATACAGCATGAAATACAATGCAGCCATAAAAATGAATGAGATTATGTCCTTTGCAGGGACACTGATGGAGCTGGGGAGCATTATCCTCAGCAAACCAACACAGGAACAGAAAATCAAATGCCGCGTGTTATCACTTATAAGTGAAAGCTGAATGATGAGAACACATGGACACGTGGGAGGGGAACAACACACACTGGGGTCTTTCAGAGGGTGGTGAATGGGTTAAGAAAAAATAGCTAATGCATGCTAGGCTTAACACCTGGGTAATAGGATAATCTGCATAGCAAACCACCATGGCACGCATTTACCTATGTAACAAACCTGCACATCCTGCACATGTACTCCTGAAATTAAAATAAAGTTGTAAATAAAAAATCATAATACAAAATAGAATCAATGAGAATATGATCTGTTCATGTGTATGGACACAAAATAAAAGACATTGCCTGGATTCTGAGGAGAATTATATTTTTAAAAAATGTAATAAAAATTGAGTGTAAAATATTTATAAAAAACAAAAAAATCAAATTTGTGCAGATGAAAAATGATGACACAACATGTTTGGGAGAGAAGACTCAACAGTACCAGGAGGTCAATAATGCTTTATTCTGCTTATAAATTGAGTTTGATTCCAATATAGATGAAATTTGCTTATGTTCTGAAGATAGACATTTTATTTCAAAGAAAAATAAATGAATAAAAAAAATCATGAAAAATCTGAAAATTAAAACAGAATGACTTCCTCAATTATATAAGGACTTAGAAAGTAAAATACTGTGCTGTGGATTTATCAAAAGACTGAGAAACTAATGGAATATAAAATTCAAAAATAGAATAAAACATATATGGAAATATACATACAGTAAAAGCAGCAGTGGCGTAAGAGGAAGTGTAAACTTGGTGTTTCTCAGGAGACTCAGGGCCACTGATATGCAGAGAGGACTTAGTGTTAAATGCGTTTAGTTACTGCTACTCTGATGTTTCCACATGTATAGGAAGACATTTAGTATTTGACTAACAGCATATTTGGATATGGTCTTAACAGTGAGATTTCCCCTACCTCAAAATACATTGTAACCTCTTATCAGAACACACAGTGTATTCTCTGGTGAGCTGAAATATTACTGCTATCAGAAAATGTTCATAACTTGCACATGGCCTGCTTGCTATGTTTGGGAACAATTTTTCTTAGGTGTTTGTAGTTTTCTCTGACCTGCCTGTCTGTGATTAGACATCTGGCCACCAGAGGTAACTTGTTGTGTACAGAAAGTGGCATTTATCATTGCACATTGCTCAATGTAGGATGGAGTCATGTAGTCTGAGAAATATTCATATCTGATTAAAGAAATTATAGAATAATAAAAATGGAGATCTGTACCACGTTTATTCACAAGAAGATACAATATTGTCAATATGTCAACTCTTTACAAATTGAGCTAGACATTCGATACAATCCCAGTCAAAACATCAGAAATTTATTTTGACAAATTGATTCTCTAGTTTATACGGAGAAGGAAAATACCTAGAATACCCAACACAATATTGTAGGGGAATAACAAAATTGGAGGACTGAGACACCACTGAATTTCAAGACTTAATATAAAGCTACAGTAATCAAGACAGTGTGATATTGGTGAAAGAATACACAAATCAACCAACAGAAAGAATAAAGAGCCCAGAAGTAGTTCTACATAAGAACATTTCTTTAACTTAAAAAACTAATGAATGTTTTTACAAAGGACTGAAGGAAATGCAAGGCAGCTGATAGTCTTTTCAGCAAATGGTACTAGAACAACTGAATACTCACATGCAAAAATATGAATCATAACTATTACATTTTCACAAAAAGTTAAAATTTATCAGAGGTCAAAATATAAAATGCAAAACTATATAAATTACAGAATATGACATAAGAGAAAATCTGGATGACTCTGGGTTTAGCAATGAAATTTGATATACAGCACGAAAAGTTCAATCCCTGAAAGAATTTATAAGCAATAATTTATCAAAATTAAACATTTCTGCCTTTTCAAAGAAACTGAGAAGGAAAGAAAAGGAGAAGAGAAATGATAAAAAAATTGCAAATGACATATCTGGTTGAGGACTGTTTTTCAAAATATACAAATAACTCTTAAAACTCTGAAATAAGAAAAAATATAGCCCAACTGAAAAGTAAAAATGAAAAGTGGGCCAAAGACCTTAACTGATACCTCACTGAGGCAGATCTATAGATAGAAAATAGTTATATAAACAGATGCTGTACATAATATTTCATCAGAGAAATGCAAATAAGAACAAGACACCAGTGTACAGTTATTATAAATGGCCCAAATTCATAACACTGACACCACCAAATGCTGACAAGAATGTGAAGCAACAAGAACTCTCATTCATTGCTGGTGAAAATGCAAAATGGTCGAGCTGATTTGGAAGACAGCTTAGCAGTTTCTTATAAGGTAAAACATTCCCTTATTGTATGATCCAGTAACCACAGTCTTTGGTATATACTCAAAGAAGTTGAAAAGTGAGGTCTAAACAAATCTACACACAGACATTCATAGTACCTTTATTTATAATTGCCAAAACATGGAAGCAACAAATATGTCTTTCAGTAGTTAAACTGATAAATTACAGTCGATCCAAATGTGGAATATAACTTAGTAATAAGGATTATGAGCTAAAAAACCATGAAAATATGTGGATAAAACTTAATTGCATATTACTAAGAGAAAGAAGGCAATCTGAAAAAGCTCCTTACTGCATGATTCCAACTGTTTGACGTTATGGAAAAACAAAACTGAACACATTAAAAGATTTAGTGGCCAGGTACTTGTCGGGAGTGAAGGATAAAGAGTTACAGAAGATTTTCAGGGCATTGAAACTACTGATGAAAAATTCCAATTCACAAGAAAATGTACTTATTTCTGTTATATCTTGGCAGCTTAAGATAACTGGAATCATAACTAAAAGCATCATTTTAGGACCATCGGACTTCAGTTTAAATTTTATGTAAATATAGAATAATTTTTGTATAATCTTTAGAATACTCACATTACTAACATATCCATTCAAATAGAACTTTAGAAAAGATTTAACATAGCAATCCAAATTATAACTGGTGATATATTTATATAAATTTATACAGTCTTGGAGGATTTATGTCAATAACATATCCATAAATTTAACTAAATGAATTTCTAGTATCACTTATCATTTGACAAAGCCTTCCGTGCAATATGCCAGATAAGTCTAATCATGTAATAGCACTAGAAGATGATAGATACATTCTTTGAGGCTTTCCAGGAACCCACCTAAAAATCCTAAATCTAATTTTAGGTAAAAAGACTTAATTTAAGATTTTGATTTTTGGGAAACCTGGAAAAGATGTCAAAGGTTCAAAACACTTGATCAAAAAAAACCATAGGTAACTGTTCAATAATAGTTATTCACTTAACCAGAGTAATGACCAAAAGACTTCAAAAGCAAAACAGAATGTAATATTGATGTAAAGCCCTTAACTTTTTGAAAGCTCAGTTTTCCTAAGTAAGCAAAGACCTAATAAAGACAAGATAGAAAATTTTCTAGACAATGACATAAACATCGTTTTTTAGGCCAGTTACTAAAGAGATAAAGAAAGACCTCATTTAGTATAATTACTTTTTATGAGAAGTCCATTTAGATAACCTGGAACTCAAACCTGATGAAAATGTTGTTAAATTTAATCAGACACAGGAAGAGTGTGTCCACGGTTTTTAGTGTATACTATATAAAGAGAAATGTAAAGAAAATTGGTATCTTGAGCAGAATAGAAGGTTTTTAGTAACAGCATGGGAAGTTTACTTGTTACATGGAACAGTTCAGACACATCAAGAAAAGTTCAGAGTACAGAGTCAAGTTGTACTGGAGGAAAACATTGCTTTTATAGACCCTTAATATAAACATTTTTGCAAAAAGCCATAATAGCAGAAGTAGAACAAGAGAAACAAAGATAAAAGAGTTGACAAATAGGTTGAAGGAGAGAGTTATAACCCCAACGATGCAAAGATACACCTTTTTAAGGAAAAAAAAGGAGACCTTTATTTCCAACCTTAAACTAAGGAAATGAATTAGATTTCAGAAAGAAATGTGACCAAATACAAGGTGTCTGTAGTTCATACAATGGCTGCTAAAGAAAGAAATTTCACAACTAAAAAGTCAAAACCTCTCACAAGTTTTCTAAAAGCAAATTAGTACTTCAAAAAAAAAAACTTGTTCTAATATATGGGACCAAATTTTTTCATTTTATATTAGTATATTTTAACAGCAATGCTTAATGTTTGGAAAGACTATTACAAGTGACAATTCTATTTTAACTGTAGCCAATTTGAGCACACAAAAAATTCCTTATTTAAATCCCCTTTTTATGAACCTTATTATAACTTACATAGTCCACTTAAGACATGCTTGGATTTTCTGCCTTATTTTATACTTCCTCCTTCTTAAGTAACCAGTCATTTAACTTTAGAATGAAAAATGTACTATGCAAGGTTCTTTATTATGTAAAATTATTCTCCTTTTATTACTTTCCTTAAAAAAATACATCTTAATGTACACTGCTTTTCTTTACATCTCTCTCCTACTGGTTCTTTCCTATCTTGTTTCTAGTCTTTTTCTAAATTCATATTTTGAAACAACCTTTAAATAACCTGCTGTTTGAAGAAAGTTTTCTCTTGATAAAGGGCAAATTTGTATTCTTCCTTATTTTATCTCATTAAAACACATCATATATATTTATATAAACATAAAATATATAAAAACATAAATATATATATTTAGCACATTTTATATACAGAATTATATATATTAAAAATTTAAATTGTTAGTTATGTTAATATTTTACTGAAAACATAGGAAGTAAGAAATATTTGTCACATATCAGCATTTTCTACCTAAAAACATTTTATAATTTTTTAGAAACATGTTTTTCCATAACATAATTTTTAGGTGTTTTAATAGACTCTATGACATTATTTTTACATATATTTAGTCTATATATTAAATTTCAGAATCCAAGTACATATTTATGTTTTTTCAGCTTTTATCCTTTTGGAAATGACCCACACATTTAATGAGTATTTAACATAACAAGATTTCAAATTACATAAACATTTTATTTATGGTTGTTTATCCTATTTACCTCTGCCCAATTTATGTATTCTTAGCAGTTTGTCTAGATTATTTAGGAGAACTGAGATATTCAACAAAGCTCATAATTATTTCAAGTTATTTATCTGTTAATCATTTTTATAGCCTGGGACTATAGTTCAGGAAACACAGTTGTTTTTACTAAACCAACTAAGTTAAATTAGTCCTATGTATTAAAAAAAGTATAGTTTTAGGCTAGGTTTATAGTTGCATAGCTCTTCTTGTCAAACCTGAATCTTAAAACATAGAACAGAGACAAATATAAAACTAAGGAATAAACCCAGGGAAAATGTATGCTCGGAATATTGAAAATGTAAATTTTTATTTTACCAATAATTTTTAAACCAGCTAATTTATTAAAGATTTGCTTATGTTGTGAACTAAAACACCTTTCTGTTTATTATTATATGTTTTGTATTTTCTACGAGTGCTCATTTATCTTTGGGAAATTTCTGGTTGACTATATTAGATTTTACCAAGGAGACACAACATACATCACAATACATATACATATGCATAAATACATCTAAATATATATACATGTATATGCATTAACAAAAATAGTTTTTATTTTAGAATAGTATTCATGAGGGTGTAATACAAACCCTTTGATTTATAAGACTGTTGTATCCCAATTATATATCTGACAAAATTAGAAACTGTTTACATGGCTAAACATTATTTGTCCCCAATACATAATCTAATGATGGCTGTGGACCAAAATTTTGAGTAAAGACGTTTCCATGGCAATTTTGTTTTTTACAAAATTTCCTTTACCTCTCTTCTCCTTTTTTTTTTATAATTTCAAATAATTTTAAGGTTAATTTCAAAGTCTTTACATTTTAACAAGGACTGACTAAATTTTATTTAAAAAATGAAATCTCCAAGTAGCCTTGAATTAATAACAAGTCTATCTTTTTCCTTATCAGCCTCATTTGTTCTATTAGCAAATATGAATGAAGAATAATTTTAGCAGTTCTATTTTTTGGCTTTTTCATGTGACCTCTCTGTGGTAGAAAGAAGCAAAATATGTATACTAGACAGAGATACCTTATATTATGGCTCTGCGGTCAATACTTTAATCTTTTTTATTGGAGGGCCTAACTTTCAGAAATGTTTATCTAGTTATTTTTCTTTTAAATTATTAATTTTTCAACTAAGTGTTTTATCATCATATACAATTGTTAGGCAAACCTGAATTCATATTTCTAAAAGGTGTTGAGGTTGTTGGTTACCATGGAGCTGTAGCAATTTATAAAGTCATCAATTTGAAAGTTATTTAAGACTTACTCACTTTGAGAGGCCGAGGCGGGTGGATCACAAGGTCAGGAGATCGAGAGCATCCTGGCTAACACAGTGAAACCCTGTCTCTACTAAAAATACAAAAAATTAGCCAGGCTGGTGGCAGGCGCCCATAGTCCCAGCTGCTCAGGAGGCTGAGGCAGGAGAATGGTGTGTACCTGGGAGGCGGAGCTTGCAGTGAGCTGGGATCACACCACTGCACTCCAGCTTGGGCAATGAGTGAGACTCCGTCTCAAAAAAAAAAAAGACTAATTTTTTTTTTATTTTGGCTGGAATGCAGTGAGTTTTATCTCAACATGACTAGAAAAGTCAACAGATTCGGAATAGGCAGAAAAAAAGAGATAGAGAACTTAGAAGACTCTAAGTGTTTTCTCTATTGTTGTAGTGTTGTTACCGAGTGAGCTATAGAGAAACGCCACACACTGAGACTAATTCAGGAATCCTTTTATTGCTGGCCACCGAGAGACGGCTAGAGCTCAAAATTATCTCGGCTCCAAAGAAGGGGCTAGATTTCTTTTTATATCGTGGTCTAAATAGGGGAGGGGGAGTATAGCTGAAGCAATTTTTACAGAAGCAGAACAGGCAAACCAATTAAAAAAGATGAATTGGTTACAGTTGCAGAAAATAGTTCCAGGTGCAGGGGCTCAAACTATCACAAAGAGATAATGCAGGGGCTTTGGGTACCATCCTCTGAGCACATCCCCAGGAACTGCTGGTTCAGCTTGTCTCAATATCTTATCAGTAAGCACATTCCTGGACGTGCTTGGAGTCATCTTGCACTAGTTATGTCCTTAAGGGAGGGAGGATAAGGGGGCTGCAAGTGAGGAAACAAAAATGGAGTGTGTCTGGCTCTCTTGGCTAAGAGAGACAATCGGGTTAAAACAAGGTAGGGTACCACGGTAGGTTTTTCTAATTACAACCATTTGAGCTCTAGATTTTTCTTGATGTAATATTGTCTATCGTTTAATAAATATGCATAAACAGAGCTGTAATATGTAGCTAACAGAAGTCCCAGAAAACCTGGCATACCTTAATATTTGAGAATCCCATTCTGTTTATTATTAATCTCTGAAGAGCAAAGAAAATTCTATAATCTGTCACATAATATCTAAAGTTTGTACCAGTGTTTTAGATGGTGACCACTTCCCCAGTGGTTTTAAATTAGCCATCCAGTGTCCATAATCCAGAATGCTTATATTTGCTATTAGAAAAGTTCCAGAAACAAGCAAGAGAAAAAATAAATAAATAACATTAAAAATAATGAGGCTTTAGCCAAACTAGATTCTAAGTAATATCAAAAAGCCTCTACATAAAGGAGGGAAGCTCAAGCTCAGAGAAGACTCACAAGGGCAGAAATGGCAAGTTCACAGGCCTCCAGTGTGTATTACACATTAGTTTTAGGATCTGCTCATTTCCTCTGTAGCGATCTTTCTCAGGTCTCATTGCTAACACTATATATGCAAGCCTAAACACAAATATAGAGAGGCTGTCCAAAAGAAGAGATATTTATTTGGGAATAAAACATTGCACTGGAAATATGCCTGCCATAGTAAACTATGTGTGTATTCAGGGAGGTAACGAAAAACAAAGCATTTAAATGAAAACAGGTCTTAATTACACAAATTCAGTGCATATTAAACCTGAAAGAAACAGAGTATTTACCAAAAAATCTCAAGTATTAATCAAGAGTGTGAAAGGAAGGTATCTTGGGCACCCAAAATTACTAAGGAAAACTCAAGCTGGAAACTACTTAGGGCAAACCTGCCTCTCGTTCTATTCAGTTACCCCTCTGCTCGCTGAGATAGATACATATCTGATTTTTTCTCCTGATCCTGAGCTTCCCAGTCTCCCTCCCATTTTTCAGCCTTAACCCCAAAACTGCAGTCTTCTTCCTTCTCTGGACACTCCTGTCAGAGCTGGGTAACCCTCCTCAGTGCAGAGTTGCCCCTGCTCTGTGCTGAGATTGAGGTCTGGGCTCTGTCCTCCCAGCTTCCGGTGACTCTGTGATTAGTGTGTGTTGGGGCAGGCAGGGAGGTGAGGAAGAGACGTCAGGAGAGAGGCACCCACGCTGTCTAAAGGTTCCAGGCCACATTTCACCCTCCTGAGCAGGACAGACGTTTCTATAGTGTGTGAGGTTTTTTGTTTGTTTGTTTGTTTGTTTTTGTTTTGTCATTGTTGTTGTGGTGGTTGTTTTTTGAGATGGAGTTTTGCTCTTGTCACCCAGGCTGGAGTGCAATGGCAAGATCTCAGCTCACTGCAACTCCAATTCCTGTTTTGAGCAATTATCCTGCATCAGCCTCCAAGGTAGCTGGGATTACAGGCACACATCACTATGCCCAGATAATTTTTGTATTTTTAGTAGAGACGGGATTTTGCCATGTTGGCCAGGCTGGTCTGGAACTCCTGGCCTCAGGTCATCTGCCCACCTCGGCCTCCCAAAGTGCTGGGATTACAGGCGTGAGCCACCATGCCTGGGCTCTATTGTGGTTTTAATCACATTGATATCAAGCATTTACTTCTTTTTCAGAAAATTACGTTAAACTGTGAAAAACATGAACTTGAGGAGAAGTATTAGCACTGGAAAATATGGAAAAGTTATGAAAATTACTGTGAAAATAAGTTCAGGGTCTCCTGAGGCAGTGGCTTTAAAGAGGATGCCTGGGGAGAGGGGGAAGGAGTCTCAGGAGCCAAGTGGGATCTGCAGACTCCCAGGACCAGGAGAACGCAGCACCTGGGGCAACTACCTAGAAGATGGCGATGGAAGCCAAAAAGTTCAGGTTTCAGCTAACCAGAAAGAAGCTAATTTCTGAGGGTGAGCAAACTTCTCCAGCAGCTGCCTCCAAGTCTGCAGGGAGCTGAGTTCCACCAGGGGCTGAGGGAGAGCAAGGTTGGTGGGGAGACTGGCCATGAGGGATTGGCCTGCTGGGTGGGGTCTGGAGAGGGGTGGGGCGACCCTGGAGAGGGGCATGGCCTGTGAAACGCAGGCAGAGTCTCTCGCCCACTGGTCAGACGCTCTCTCCTCCCAACAGACTCCAGTCCCAAGGGGCCATTTGGGTGGTTAGGGGTCTGGAGGACCTGCCTACTTCACCTACTCAAGCCTGTTGCAGAATTCAAGGCAGAAGCCCAGAACTGTGAGTGAGCTGACACTGAATGCTGACATGTTTTCTTCTTAACTGGTTGAAAACAGTAGAGTCCACAGCACTTTTCTTTTCTCTTTCTTTTCTTTTCTTTTTTTCTTTTTGAAACAGGGTCTGGCTCTGTCGTCCAGGCTGGAGTGCAGTGGCACGATCTCGGCTCACTGCAGCCTCAACCTCCTTGCCTCAAGCGATCCTCCTGCCTCAGCCTCCTGGGGAGCTGGGACCACAGGTGCTGCCACCAACCCTGCCTGGCCCACAGCTTTTCTACCAGCAGAGCAGCCGTGTGCGCAGTGGGGCAAGGCCTGCAAGTTGACTTGGCAGCAGGGGCATGGGGCTCTCCACAAGGGTCCTGAGAGCAGCTTATTACTAAGCCAGGGCTGGGGTGGTCTCTGCTGGGAATGAAAACTAGAATGTCACCTGCTGAACCCTGCAGTGTGCCGTTACACTTGGACTTCACTTGAACCCAATTTCATTTCCATTTCTGTCGCCATTCATCTGGGAGATGGTATGCAGCCCTCTTTGCATACACTCGCTTTGAAAAATTTCTTTGATGTTTCCATTCTTCCATTTAATTTTTAATATCAGTAACTAATAATTTCTAACAGCTTTGTTTTTAAATTTCTCCTTTATAAAAGTTGTTTTATTTATTTCTAATTAACAAATAAAAATTGTATATATTTAGGGTGTACAATATCATTTTTTTTTGAAGTATACGTGATTTTGGGATTGGCTAAATCAAGCTAGTTAACATATCCATTAACTCACTGTTTATTTGTGTGTATGTGCATGTTTGGTGAGAAGTCTTAATATTCATTCTGTTTTAGCTTTATGGCTTTTCAAGTATACAATGCTTTCTTATTACCTATACTCAACATGTTGTAAAATAGATCTCTGGAATTTATCGTGCTTGTCCAAGTGAAATATTGTATCTGACCAACATCTCCTCAATCCTCCACATCCTCTCCAGCCTCTAGTAACCACCATTATACTCTCTGTTTCTATGAAGTTGACCTTTTAGATTCCACATCTAAATGAGATCATGCAGTATTTGTCTTTCTGTGTCTGGTTTATTTTCATTAACTTCATGTCTTCCAGGTTCACCCACATTGTCTCAAATGACACGATTTCCTTTTTCATGGCAAAATAATATTTCCTTACTTATATATAACATATTTTCTTCATTCATCCGCTGATGGACACTGAGATTGATTACATGACTTGGCTATTGAGAATAATGTTGCAATAAACAGGGATGTGCAGATATCTCTTCAACATACTGATCTCATTTCACTTCTAAAATACCAGTTTCTCCAACTTATAAGGTTTTTGAAATATAAAATATTTAGCCTTAAGTGGATTTAAATTTTGGATGGTAAATTTCTTTTGGACAAAGAAGCTGAAACATCTCTGATGTTTATATAGAGGATAGAAGGGAAGTCAGCCCTGCTTACCTCTCCATGCCTCCAGGGTCGAATTTACTTCTCCTGAGCTCAGCGCACTCCACTCAGACCTGCTGAGAAGTGGAACCAGAGGAAGAAGCCAAGGCTGTTCACCATTTGAAGGACAAGATATAATGATATCTAACCTCCCCATTGGTTTTCCTTAAACCCTTTCTCTCCTTATGTAGGAATTGAGTGATGTTGCTCTGCCTGTGTAAATCATCAACCTCCAATCACCTTCTCCATCTGCATTCAGATTTATCCATAGTGTATC
Source organism: Homo sapiens (assembly GCF_000001405.40). Lineage (NCBI taxonomy): Eukaryota > Metazoa > Chordata > Mammalia > Primates > Hominidae > Homo > Homo sapiens. The sequence continues at coordinate 35,812,762 of NC_000016.10, read as the reverse complement.
TTCCTGGAGTCTCCAGATCAAATGAAGTGATTCTTTCTGAGCCTACGTGGGGTACTTATTAATAGTTGTAACTTCCCAAGCTGAGAAGCTGAATCTGTAATACAGGTGTCTGAGTAAACCAAGGTCTTTCTACCCACCATATGGGTCTGTTTCCTTGGCTGGGAATTAGGTCTGTTGAGAAGTGAGGAGTGAGAAGAGTGACAGTTAATTTAGGTATAATTTCTTCAATTTATGTTTTCCTCATTATGATTACTATGAAAAAAAGAGACTCCAGGCATTTGTTAAAAATAACTGCCTCACAAAGCTAGTCTCTTTTTCAGCAGAAACTGCACACCTGTGGAAGTACAATGGTTGTAGGATGGAGTTTCATGAGGTTCACACAGATGCCCTGAGGAGAAGGTGACCACATTAACATGGAGTGCAGAGTGTATCAGGGAGGCTGGGCCCACTTCTTCACCGGGAGTGACCCTTTCTTTCTCAGTGGGCCCTCTGTGTTCTTGTCACCATCAAGTGTCTGAGTGTTTTGACATCTTAGGAGCCTCCAGCTTGAAAGAAGAAATGGGCTGGATCTCCAGTGTGAGTCATACTAGGGAGCCATTGTGGAATAAGTGAGAGTATGTGTGGGAGGGACACTGCAGTAAAAAGAATAAACCCTAGCAAAATGCAAACACTCCTGGTAATGAAAGGAAGTAAGAACAATATAAAGAATTTTCTCAGATATTTCTACAAACATGTGCAAACTGATTTTGCTCCTGGCCCAGTCTGGGGTTAGACAGCATGGGTGGAGGAAGGGAGGAGGTCCAGACCCCTGGAGGTTGGGCCTGCAGGTCACTCAAGAGGGAAATCCTTGGGTCAGAGCTCTGAGAGATGCCTTGGTAGTGTCTGGACAGGAGGCCTTCACTGACCATCTGTAGGCCCTGGTTGTGTAGCACCCCCTCATCCACATTCACCCTGAGTCAGCACTGGCCCTTGGTAACTGCATGATGCATCTGCCGCTGACCAGAAGAGAGAGAAATGGCCCTGTTGAACATGTTTGGCCAAGCTCCCACATGAAACTCTGCAAAGACAGGGAGTGGTAGCCATTCCTGGAAGCATCAGCACCTTGCCTGGCTGTCATTGCTACTGCTACTGTTCAGACTTCACCCAGGAGGAAATGAGCTCAGAGTGCAAGGGCTCTGGATGAACATCAAGGTAGATGGGCACCACCCCAGCACTCACTTTTCACCCTGCCAGCCGTGACCTGGGGTGTGAACATCACAGGCAGCCCAGGTTTCTACCTTCCCAACAATCTCCTCCTGTCCAGGGTATGTCAATTTCTCATGCCCCCACTCTCCCACTTCCCTGCCTTCACACCCAGTGTGTGGCTGCCCCAGTGGGATCAGAGTGGTAGCTTTGTCTAGCTTGGCCTACCCTGGGCTGCCCCATGTTACTTTAGAGTCCTTCCAGGAAAATGCCTGAAGTTAGGTGTAAGGGCTGAGCAAACATTTGCAGAGTCAGAAAAGCCTCACACTCTAGGGTGTTCTAAGGCCTGAGCTGCAGGAAGTCAGGATACTGCAGAAGAACATTTGGCCATCTCAGATATCACTGAACAGGTGAGCTGGGTGGTGGGGAGTGGGGGGCTGCCTCTAGAATGTGTTTTTTTTGGATACTAGGGTTCTAAGTTCTCTTGGGGTTTATTGTCAAGTGAGATCACTTCTTTGGGTCCTCTTACCTGGACTTCCTCCTCAGATGAGACTTCCCCAAGAACCCCTCCCTGTTGCTGACTGCTCACCATCCACCCACATTCCATGTTACACCTGCACACCGTCACAACAATACAGCCCATTCTGCAGCCCCTGGGCAAAGCTTGGGTGCAGCCAGGGCCTCGTTTTGAGGAGGCAGAGCTTGGCTTGGACCTAGATTCTTCTTTCCAATTCTGTGACTCTGGACAAGTCATTGTGCCTCTTAGGAACTCTCTAGTCTCCCAACCTGCTCATTCTAGCATCTGCTTCCTAGGGATGGCATCAGGTGTATGTACCTACAAATACCTGCAATACCTATGCAACCCGTGGGCTGGCATCACATTTGCCAATGTACATAGTTAAAGATGGAAAAAATTACAAAAAAAGTTTGACTTACCATAGAATATAACATATTCTGGGTTCTGATTTGTGATGCTGGGAAAGTCACTTTTCCTCTTAGCATGGTATCTTAGTATGCACCATGTGAAGGTTGAAATTAACTGAAATTCAGATATCACCTTTCCGGCATAAAGCCTTCCAATGCCTTCCCATTATATTTAGAATATGGCCTAAGCGTTTTATCCCAGCTTCTGTGGTGAGTGGCCCCCACAGTGGCTCTCAGCCATCCCCACTTCCTTGTCTACAAATCCTTGTGCAATCCCCTGTCTTCAAAAGTAGATTAAATTCAGTGACTTGCTAATTGAGCTTAGTGATGTAACTTCCAAAATAGGATAATGAAAAGCATGTGACTTCTGTTCAGCTCCCTCTCTCCGGTTGTGTTCATGTTTACATTCTCTGTCTCTCCCTCTTCCTTTCCCTCTCCTTCCCTTTATCTCTCATTTCTCACTATTGGGAAATAAGGTCAGATATATTGAGCTGACCTGTGGAGAGAACTCAGTGGCAAAAAAATTGACAGAGGCCCCAGCCCTTAGAAAAAAATTAAAAACTTAGACCCTCGGTGTAAACAGATTTATTTCAATAATTTATAAATGGTCTCATAAATGGATCCTGCCCAGTTGGACCTCCGTTGATACCACAGCCCCAGCCACCTGAGAAATCTTGAGCCAGTTACACCCAGCTGAAACCTGCCTGAACCAAATCCACAGAAACTGTGACATAGTAAATGTTTTTTTAGGCTACTAAGATTGGGGTAATGCTGTCTTACAGTGATATATAAGGTACCCAATACAGTCTTCCAGGCCTTGTGGCCTGGTGCTAACCTCTCCCTCTCTCCCCCTCTCCCCTCCTTTTCTCCTGACCTCTCTCCAGCCACCCTGGCTGCCTTTCCAACCTATACTCTGGCCACATTCTCTTCTGACACTGAGTGTGTGCACTTTGAAGACTCAGACGTGTGCAGGCTGGCTCCTCTTGTCTTTCTGGTCACAGCAAAAATGTCACCTCAGCAGGGCCTTTCAGACCCGCACACCTAGTGGTCCCCAGCCTCCTCACAGCAACTGCTTTATTTTGCTGTAGTGCTTGCTCTTCTCTTTCACATGTATTAGCTTTCGTGCACTTGCCCATCTCCACTCAGACCATGAGCTCCTGCGGGACAGGGACCATGTTTGACATTTTCAGTACTGCAGCCAGGCCTAACACAGCCTTACACAGGGTGAGTGCTCAGGGCACAGTTGCTGAATGAAAAAATGAGATTATCTTGGAGACTTATACCCACCTCCAAGCAGCACACATTGTGGAGACGGATGCTAGTAATAGGAGGTGCAAGACAGATGGGAGTCAAGGAAAGAGTGGCAAGATCTCTTCCCTAGCTCCAGTTGTCAACTGAGCACAGTAGACACAGTTCTTCCCCTGGTGTTCACAGCTAGCACTGCAGCCCCAGAGAGGAAAACCAGACACGAAACTCTCACCTTTTTTGGTGTCCTCAGGGAACTGACTCTCTCGTAGCCGAAGGAAGTAAATGAGGGGAACCCACAGGCTCGAGGGCAATCTGAAGGACCTCAGAAGCCTCCCTTAGGTTCTCAGTCTCTCAAACCCCCAGGGTGGTCTCTACTCCAAGGGACCTCCAGGAAGTAGAAACCATTTTTTTAATGACTCAGAGTAAAGTGAGTCACTGATCAAACACTAGGGTCAAAAGACACTTTCTGGCCGGGCGCGGTGGCTCACGCCTGTAATCCCAGCACTCTGGGAGGCCGAGGCAGGCAGATCACGAGGTCAGGAGATTAAGACCATGCTGGCTAACATGGTGAAATCCCATCTCCACTAAAATTCCAAAAAAAAAAAAAAAAAAAAAGCCAGGCGGGCGCCTGTCGTCCCAGCTACTCGGGAGGCTGAGACAGAAGAATGGCGTCAACACAGGAGGCGGAGCTTGCAGTGAGCTAAGATCGTGCCACTGCACTCCAGCCTGGGCAACAGAACAAGACTCCGTCTCAAAAAAAAAAAAAAAATACTCTTTCTGAGGCTGTGTGTAACCCTTGAGGTCGCCCAAGCTAAGCACTCCAGAACATACAGGGAAATTTGAGACCTCCTCTTCTATAGGCCCATCCTCATTAATATCTCATCTTAGCTTCAAGTGCCCAATGTGGTGGACCCAGAACCCAGGATGCCAGAAATTATACTTTTGAGGCTGCCCTAGGGAGGGTCTCAGTCAGGCAGATGCCTAGGAATAAATGGAATTATAAAGTGTGTAACTTTTTTTATTGTCTTTTTTTACTCAGTATAATTTCCTAGAGACGTTAACATTTTTGTGTGTTTCAAAGCTTGTTCTTTCTTATATTGCTCAGTGGGTCTCCATGGTATGAATGTGCCACACTCTGTGTAACTGTTTACCCATCCAAAGACATATCTGTTGTTTCCAGTTTTTGGCAATTATCAGCAAAGCTGCTGTGAAAATTCATATATGGATTTTTGTGTGAATAAATGTTTTGTTACTCTGAGAAATATGCAGGACTGCAATTGCTGGTCACGGAGTAGTTGCATATTTAATTTTATTAGAAACTGCCTAACTGCTCTCCGTAGTGGCTGTATTATTTAACACTCCCATCATCAAAGAATGAATGATCCAGTCTCCACTTCTCCTCTACATTTGGTTTTATCATTACTACTATTTTTATCCTAGCCACTCTGCTGAGTGTGTATTGATGTTTCATTTGTGTTTTAATACCTACTTATTTAATGATTAACTATGTTGAACATCATTTACTGTGTTTATATGACATCTGCATATTATCTTAAGTGTAATGTCTATGTATGTTTTATGCCCATTTTCTTTGCTTAAAGAATTTTATTTAGCTATAATTCGCTTATCAAATAATGTACCCATTTAAAGTATATAATCCAATGATTTTAGTTTGTGCACAGTTGTGCAGCCATCACCACAGTCAATTATAGAACATCCATATATGAATTTTCACAGCAGCTTTGCTTATAATTGCCAAAAACTGGAAACAACAGATATGTCTTTGGATGGGTAAACAGTTACACAGAGTGTGGCACATTCATACCATGGAGACCACTGAGCAATATAAGAAAGAACAAGCTTTGAAACACACAAAAATGTTAACGTCTCTAGGAAATTATACTGAGTAAAAAAAGACAATAAAAAAAGTTACACACTTTATAATTCCATTTATTCCTAGGCATCTGCCTGACTGAGACCCTCCCTAGGGCAACCTCAAAAGTATAAGTTCTGGCATCCTGGGTTCTGGATCCACCACACTGGGCACTTGAAGCTAAGATGAGATATTAATGAGGATGGGCCTATAGAAGAGGAGACCTCAAATTTCCCTGTATGTTCTGGAGTGCTTAGCTTGGGCGACCTCAAGGGTTACACACAGCCTCAGACTACAGTCACTCTTTGACTGGAAAAGAATGTTGCTAACTGTACACATGATGGTTTTATGTTATTTGCTAATTCTAGGATGCAAAGCTGGAATAAGAGCAATGACTGCCACACCTGACAGACCTGTCGCTGAACACATCTGCACTCTCCAATCCAAAAGACCTGATGCAGAAAACAAAAAAGGGGAGATGTGGTGGTTTAGTCAGGCTGGTTGGAAAAAAAAATTAGTTATAATAGCCACAAACCCTCTTGGAAGGCATGAGATTTTGCATAACTTTGGTAATAAATCTGGCTGAAGGCAGCCTAGTCCCCTACATTTCATTAAATAAATTAGAGTAGAAACAAAGAAATGTGAGGAAGTTATCTAACTATCTTGTTTAGTCATGTAGTCCTAAGATTAACTTTTGATCTGCCATGGGTGCTTAATTGCTTTCTACTTGGAAGGTTGGCAATGTCAATTACCCTCTAGTGGTGTTGACTCAAGCCTTTGTCAATTAGTCTTGACTGAATAAATGCGAGTCTCACTGGCTGGTTGGGGCCATGGTCACAACTGTTTACAGCATTCTCCTGGGAGTCTGTAAGCGGTCCGGATGCTCAGTCGAATTGGCAAAACAGAATATCTCTGTGTTAGTGTACTTAATTCTTCCATTGTTGAGTCAGGGTCTGCAGGCAGACCCCTTCAGAGGAGTTACAATTCAAGATAAGATTTGGGTGGGTATACAACCAAACCATGTCACCAGGAAACTGTCCTCTTTTCTTGCACTTGTCATCTGCTGTCAAAAAAATATGTAAAATAAATTGAATAAAAAAGAGAAAAAATAGAATGGGAGAAAGTAATTGGAAATACTTTCTTTAAGAAAAAACAAGAACCACTTATTTTATTGGATATGTGCACATATGTAATAAAGGCCAGTATTCATAATATTAACAAAACTCTAAAAATTCACCAGAGGAAAACAAAGGAAATAATTAGGAAATAAGCAATAGATTGCCTTAGGCTGGGGAGTTTGAGGGGCAGAAAAAAAGGTGGGGAAGGTGGTGAAAGAAATGAGCAATAACTGCTGATGAATATGAAGTTAATTTTTGAGTAATTAGAATGTTCTAATTTTTACAAAATGTAAAAAAAAAATCTATCCAGAGTGCTGAAATGCTAAAGGTTATTGGAACCCAATTGAGCCTGAAGGATAGAGCCCTGTGGGGACTTTTGACACACAAGTGGGCTCCTTTTTTGTTGCACAAGGGCGGGGGAGCCTTATCCAGATCGAAACCACAGGGTGGTGGCTGAAAATGTGACTATCTCCTCCCTTTTCTTGTAAAAATCTTATAAATTAGGTAACAAATGTGGAGTAATGTCTTCAGGAAGAATATCTCTCATATATTTAAAATTCACCTGTTAAACTGGAAGAGCCTCTTTCTCTGTCCCAATTATTTTTTATTAAGGTATAAATTGGTTTATCAAGTAGTTGATATTTGACTTTTGATAACATGTTAGAACCTGGGAGTTTATATAATATGTACAATAAGCATTGGTCAATCAAATGCATTTCTTAGGCAGCTATTATTTACTTGTATAAAATCAGAGCTAGAAAGAGGAGCATAATATTGCCTTTAAGGAGCCAACATACTTGTAGAGATTCATTCACAAGTTTTTATTCAGCAGCTTTAAGTGCGTTACACCAAGCAAGTGATGAAGAAACTATCTCTTTAGTTTTATTTGTTGAATGGTGGAGATAAGTATAGAGGAGTGCACTCAATCCAGTGTGGGAAGGAGGTAGGTTAGGTGGTGGGAAGTGGAGGTGAAGGCGAGGCTTTGTAAAAGAAGTGTTGACTGAAGGAGGAGATGGCAGAAGTTAGCTGGGTAAGTAAGGAAGAAGGAGAGGCAGACCTTTAGATGCCTGGCACTGACAAAGATAGCAGAATGCACATTTCAGCCATGAGCACAAGGAAATTTGTGTGGCAAAAACAGCACTTTTTCTTACTTTGAAAATTTGGGTGGAGGGAATAAACTCCTGGATGTTGGGGCCAAACAAATTAGAAAGCACATTTTACTCACTTTTATATTGTCTGGAACATAAACTTTAATTGAGATTTCAGATGAAAAAATTCAATGATTTCCAGAAAATATTCTGTAGAACACAGTTTGCTCAAAATATTAATAAATACCAGTTGATGAATGGGTTCTAAGGTCAAATAAGTTCAGAATATTTAAATCACTATTGTGAGTCTTAAGAGAGTGAAAGCCCACAGTTTTCCAGGGGCTTTAGGCAGATTTTATTTGACCGTCTTGAGAAACCAGTAATTAGAGAACACCTTTGGAAGTGCTGTGTCAGCGTCCATGTGGCAGGAATGCTTCCTGGCTAGTCTAACAGACCTGAGTCTCACTGAAGGGTCTCTGCTCCCCTGAGAGCCCAACACAAGCTGGAGACAGGCTGTCAGGAGGTGGCTGCATATGTGTTAATAATGGGAAGACTTAAAATGGGGTGTGAAATAAGTCATTCAATTGAAAGACCTTCAACAAAAAAAAGCCATGGTTTCTGTCTTAGTGAGAAGGCTTGTGGCTTGTGGTAGTTTTGTGTTCTAAGCACAGGCTGCCTGGGACCTAGCTAGCTTTTGACAGCAGATGACAAGTGCAAGAAAAGAGGACAGTTTCCTGGTGACATGGTTTGGTTGTATACCCACCCAAATCTTATCTTGAATTGTAACTCCTCTGAAGGGGTCTGCCTGCAGACCCTGACTCAACAATGGAAGAATTAAGTACACTAACACAGAGATATTCTGTTTTGCCAATTCGACTGAGCATCCGGACCGCTTACAGACTCCCAGGAGAATGCTGTAAACAGTTGTGACCATGGCCCCAACCAGCCAGTGAGACTCGCATTTATTCAGTCAAGACTAATTGACAAAGGCTTGAGTCAACACCACTAGAGGGTAATTGACATTGCCAACCTTCCAAGTAGAAAGCAATTAAGCACCCATGGCAGATCAAAAGTTAATCTTAGGACTACATGACTAAACAAGATAGTTAGATAACTTCCTCACATTTCTTTGTTTCTACTCTAATTTATTTAATGAAATGTAGGGGACTAGGCTGCCTTCAGCCAGATTTATTACCAAAGTTATGCAAAATCTCATGCCTTCCAAGAGGGTTTGTGGCTATTATAACTAATTTTTTTTTCCAACCAGCCTGACTAAACCACCACATCTCCCCTTTTTTGTTTTCTGCATCAGGTCTTTTGGATTGGAGAGTGCAGATGTGTTCAGCGACAGGTCTGTCAGGTGTGGCAGTCATTGCTCTTATTCCAGCTTTGCATCCTAGAATTAGCAAATAATATAAAACCATCATGTGTACAGTTAGCAACATTCTTTTCCAGTCAAAGAGTGACTGTAGTGTTATTTGGCATCTCAGTTTATTGTATGCCATTAATGAGGAACTCCATTATGTTAATTTTTTTTAGTTAAACAGTCACGTTGTTAGAAGATGAGAAGGGGGTGTTTTTTAAAGTAACAGGGCAGAAAAAAGGCGGACTTAAGAAATGAGCTTAATAGAGTGTAGCAGGTACCAGTTGCAGACAAAGTGGGAGAATTAAAAAGGATTAAAATTTCTGGCTCAACCTTTTGCTTCTTTATATTGTGTGTCTTCTGCAGAAGCAGCATTGCCTGGGGCTGCTGGTCCTATAGTAGGGTCTTTTTTAGGCTGGTTTGAGTTTTTTTTTTCTTTCCATCCTTTAATGAGGACGTAGTCTCCAGGCTGGTGCTGGTGTACTGGAAATTCTAGGGGTGGTGCCTGTGCTAAGACACCTTTTATAATCTTTCTAAAGAGCAGGTTAGTGCTTTAAGAAAAACCTGCTGTGATTTATTTTAATGTCTAGTTTACAGAAAAACTGGATGAAACTTCTTTAACTTTAGCCAATATGTTTACACACAGAATTTTTTTTACAATTAACATTTTAAAACTTGCTTAGAGTGTGAAAAAGAAGAGGCGAGAAAGACCCCCCGACAGACCAAAGCCCGTGTGCCGCTGCATCCTGCATCCAGCACCTACCTCCCGCCACTGTCGCCACTGCCACCATGCCCAAGAGAAAGGCTGAAGGGGATGCTAAGGGAGATAAAGCCAAGGTGAAGGATGAACCACAGAGAAGATCCGCAAGGTTGTCTGCTAAACCTCCTCCTCCAAAGCCAGACAGCCCAAGCCTAGAAAGGCCCCTGCAAAGAAGGGAGAGAAGGTACCCAAAGGGAAAAAGGGAAAAGCTGATGCTGGCACAGAGGGGAATAACCTTGCAGAATATGGAGATGCCAAAAAGACCAGGCACACAAAGCTGAAGGTGCTGGAGATGCCAAGGGAAGTGTGTGCATTTTTGATAACTGTGTACTTCTGGTGACTGTACAGTTTGAAATACTATTTTTTATCAAGTTTTATAAAAATGCAGAATTTTGTTTTACCTTTTTTTTAAAGCTATGTTAGTACACAGAACACTTCATTGTTGCTTTTGGGGGAAGGGGCATATGTCACTAACAGAAGGTCTCCAAAGCTGCATTGATGTGGAGAAAACACCTTTCCCTTCTAGTTTTGAGAGACTTCCTCTTGGCTCCCAGGAGGAGGGATTCCCTGACTTTGACACACATGGCCACCTTGGCACAAAAGCCTTGTGGTATAGAAAAACAAATTTGTTTTTATGTCCTCTTCTCCCTTTCCATCTTTCAGCATAGACTTAACTCCCTTAAGCCCAGACATCTGTTGGGACCTGACCCCTAGTCATTGGTTACCAGTGTGTCAGGCAATCTGGACTTTCCAGTGATGCCACTGAGATGGCACCTGTCAAAAGAGTAGTGGTTCCATTTCTAGATTGTAGATCTTCAGATAAATTCTGCCATTTTCATTTCACTTCCTGAAAGTCAGGGTCGGCTTCTAAAAATTTGTTAAACAATATGCTAAATGTGAAATGTCACCCCTCACTCTAAACTTTCCCCGTTCAGAGCATCAGATGAAGACTTCATTGGGTTTTATAGTGGCTTTCTGATTTTTGGTAGTCCATTGAAGAAGGGAGTTTGAAAGTTGTTGTATACTGTTAACGATTATCTGCCCATGTCCTGCCTGAAATACCGTGATTGTTTATGGAAAGTATCTTTAATAAAGCTGGATATAGTTTGGCTTGGAAAAACAAAACTTGCTTAGACATTCAAAACAAAAATTATACAATATTTCCATATACAACATTTTTCATGACTTTCACAGACAATCTTTGCCATGCCTTAACTTTCTGACTTTGTTTTATAACCTTCCTTACTAAAAGTGCATTCTTATATCTATAACTTTCTTAAAATTTCCTTTTCCTCTTCCTACTTTACCTCTCCTCTTTGTGTTACTTTTTGTGTCGCTCTATGATCGCTCTCTCTTCTAGACTTTTTGTTACTCATTCTTTCCCTCTTGAGCTGGCATAAGCTGGACCATTATTTGTTTTGATTTTTTAGGGCCATTCCATAAATGCACAAGTTAAAAGAAGATGTTTAATGACATATCAAGTTGACTCTTTAGGGAAAGCATGTGCACTTATTAAATGAGTGTTGGTTTCAATGGATTCATGTACATATCTAAGTTTTCCAAATTCAGGGATGTGTGTAACGTATGTTTACCATAATTGATTATGTTCTAGTGCTCTAAGGTTAAAACCTTTGAAGGAGGGGATATGCCTGTGAGCTGGCAATTTGGGCATTGCAGGATAATTTGTTTAGCCAGTCTTTGTGTAAGTTGAAATTGTTTAGATAAGTTTCTCCAATTTTGGTGGAAAAATTGATGTGATTCTGTGGCTTGGTCAAGCAGTGATGTCATAACTTGAAGGTCTGCTTGATTATTGCCATAAGCCAATGAGCCAGGCAGTGAGCTGTGGGCTTGAATATGTGTAATAAAAATAGGATGTGTACGTTGATCTAGCAATTTCTGAAGTCAGGGAAAAAGAGTGCACAGGGCTGGCTCCAGAGTGAATTTAATTAAAGCTGTCTCAAGGTTTTGTAGTAAATAGAGTAAGCTGAGTGTCTTATAATATTTATGGGCTGAGTGGAAAAAGTTTCTAAGGCCAGTATCAGAGTCTGAATCTTAGCTCTCTGAGTGCTAGTAAACACAGATCAAGTGATTGAATTGTGTGGTCTCCACCAGACTGCTGCTTTTCCATGTTTACCAGACCCATCTAAAGCATTAGGTATGGGGGAGTGAACTATTTTTGTGGGCAAAATTACCAGAGTGTGAGATAAGAAATGAAGGAGTTTGGCCAGGTGTGGTGGCTCACACCTGTAATCCCAGCACTTTGGGAGGCTGAGGCGGGCAGTTCACGAGGTCAGGAGATCAAGACAATCCTGGCTAACACGGTGAAACCCCATCTCTACTAAAAAAAAAAAAAAAAAAAAAAAAAAAAATTAGCCAGGCGTGGTGGTGGGCGCCTGTAGTCCCAGCTACTCAGGAGGCTGAGGCAGGAGAATGGCATGAACCCAGGAGGTGGAGCTTGAAGTTAGCCGAGATCGTGCCACTGCACTCTAGCCTGGGCGACAGAGCAAGACTTCATCTCAAAAAAAAAAAAAAAAAAAAAGGAAATGAAGGAGTTTATCAGCAGGCAGGATGTGCTCTATTTGCCCTGTGTAATCAGATAAAGCTATTTGCAGATGTATTGATAAGGGCAACACTGCTTTGAATTGCTTTTTACTTAAAGAAATCCTGATATCAAGATCATAACCTAGCAGCTGACTGCAACATTTGCAACCTGCATAGATGACTTTAGTAATTAACTGAATATAGGGAGATAGTGTTTTAGTCCTGGTATGTGAGGAAAAAACTCAATTCTGGGAAGCACAGCCCTGAGGTCATCAGTCCTATTAACCCAAAAGGGGAGTGTTTGGTGGGAAAGATAAACAACTGAACCAAGAAGCCTGGGTCTATGCAATCTAGCTGCCTCTGAGAGATGACTTGTTCGATTTCTTCAATTGCCCTTTTTGCAGCAGGGGTTAAATATCTGGGAGAATCCAGAGCTGGATTGCCCTTTAAGATAGAAAACAGGTTTTGTAGTTTATCAGTAAGAATTCCCAAAGTGGGGCAGAGCAAAGTAATATCCTCCCCCGCCCCCAGTAATTTTTGATAATCATTTAAGGTAAGTTGCTAGCATTTAATTTAACCTTTTGTGGTCTCACTGATGGGGAAGTTAGTATATACCCAAGATATTTCCAAGAAAACATCTGTACTTTCTCAGGTGCTATAATTAAGCCTCTTAGCTGTGTATCCTTTATGACAGAGGAATATAAATTTAAAAGTATTGGCTCAGGTGGAGCTGCTAATAGAATATCATCCATAAAATGAATAATTTTACCATCAGGAAATTCTTTTCTACTAGGAATTAAAGCTTGATTTACATGATACTGACACATGGTAGGACTGTTTAGCATTCCTTGAGGAAGCACTTTCCAATGAAATCAACAAGCTGGTTTTTCATTATTGATAGCTGGTATTGTAAACACAAATTTTTCTCTGTCCTGTTCTGCTAATGATTATAGGCCAATCTTGAGGAATCATCATGGGGGAGGGGAGGCCCTGTTGAAGGGGTCCCATAGTCTGTAAATTAGCATTAATAGCACATAAGTCATGCAAAAGTCTCCATTTCCCAGACTTTTTGGGAATGATGAAAACAGGCAAATTCCAAAGGCTGTTAGATAAGTCTACATGCCCAGCCTTTAAATGCTCTTCAACTAATTCATGAGCCTTCTGCAATTTCTCTCCCTTCAGAGGCCACTGTTCCACCCAAATTGGATCTTGAGAGAGCCACATCAGGGATAGGAGAGACATAACAGTGGCCATTATCAGAAAAGTGTCTTTCAAATTCTTAACTTTTACTTAAATCTTAGCAGAAAATTATAATCTGGACGTTGCTTGTATTCGAGGAACACATGAAATCTTGCTGTGGGCCACTTCTAGAGCTGGAGAGCTGAGCAGGTGGGCCCCGGGTGGCGGCTGCATCAAGCGTGCTTAGGCACTGCCACTATTTGTGCCAAATTTTTTTTTTCTATGATGCTTCCTCCGCCTATAGTTGGGCGGCTGTTGCTGGCTGGGTGGACCTTCCCACGTGTGCCTCTTGCCCCTCCCCAGCAGGCCAGCTTTGGCACTGGGCTTGGCCTCCCAACTGCTACTGCCTGCTGCTTCACAGGCCAAGTTCCCAGGAGCATTTGCTGGCTCCGTTCCACGAGGTTTCCTGCTGCTGAACCTCTCTTTCTATTTACTGCCTGCCTGGCTGCAAGGCTCTGGCCTCTAATGCCTTTTCTTAACCCTTTATGTACGTGATTGCCTTGCTGATCTGGTATTACTGGGCAAGCTAAGAGCCTTCCTTCTAATGCCGCTTGCCTAAAACAGCATCTCTTAGCTGTAGCGTATCTCCTGTCTTTTCTCATATCTATTGGATGAGGGGGCTCAGGCAAAACCTTTATTTCCTCATTGTTATTTTGGCCTGGTGATATTGGGGCTGAGAGAAGAGGAGTCAGTAAAGTAGGTGATGTTTCCTCCTCCTTCCCCTTTTTAGGCTCTTCCGTGTACAATGGAACAAGGGCTGCTCTAATTAAAGCCCATAGCATTAAAGCTGTTACTGGGACACATTGCCCTTGTGCATAATATTGTTTAAAATTTCTCCCCACTTGTTCCCAGAGCTTTATGTCTAGCATGACTTTTTACAGGAACCATGGGCTTTGCATTACAACAGTTTGCATCAGTTCCCTTAATTGAGCCTGCGAAACTGAGGTTCCACTAGCTTTAAGCAGCTGTTTTAACACTTTTATATAGTGTTTCTGTTGAGCTGATAACTGTCATCCCATGATGAAACCTCAGTCTGAACAAGCCCCCATGAACTTGGAGATCCCAAGTGGGCACCAATGACTTACTTATTACTCACTGACCATACAGTCCTTTCCACCTCTGTTTTGGGGGGTCCATCGCACTTCCTTCCCAGTGTTTCTCACACAGGGCACCAGCTGCGGGGGTCTGTCCTGCAGACCCTGACTCAATGATGGATGAATAAAGTACACTAACACACAGATATTCTGTTTTGCCAGTTTGACTGAGCATCCAGGCCACTTAAAAACTCCTAGGAGAGTGCTGTGAACAGTTGTAACCATGGCCCTGACCAGCCAGTGAGACTCACATTTATCCAGTAAAGACTAATTGACAAAGGCGTGAGTCAACACCACTAGACGGTAATTGACATTGTGGACTTCCTGAGTAGAAAGCAATTAAGCACCCACAGTAGATCAAAGGTTAGTCTTAGAACCACATGAGTAAACAAGCTAGATAAATAACTTCCCCACATTCCTTTGTTTCTACTCTAATTTACTTAACTAAACGTAAGGGGACTAGGCTGCCTTCAGCCAGATTTATTACTGAAGATATGCAAACTCTCAGGCCTTCCAAGAGGGTTTGTGGCTATTACAGCTAAAAATTTTTCCCATCAGCCTGACTGAACCCCTACACTCCCATAATTCTCACGTGTTGTGATGTTGTATGTTCATGTGATGTGCATGTGTATGTGCATGTGATGTTGTATGTTCATCATGTGTTCATCACAGCACAATTCACAATTGTAAAGATATGGAGTTAATCTAAGTGCCCATCAACCGATGAGTGGATTAAAAAATATGGTATACATATACTATGAAATACCTTGCAGCCATAAAAAAGAAAAAAATAACATCTTTTGCAGCAACTTGGATGGATCTGGAGGTAGTTATTCTAAGTGGAGTAATTCAGAAATAGAAAACCAAATATTGCATGTTCTCACTTATAAGTGAGAACTAAGCTATGAGTACACAAAGGCACACGGGGTAGAATCATGGACACTGGAGATTCAGAAGGCAGGAAGGCTGGAGAGGATAATGGGGTGAGGTTTTTCGTGTACCACCATTTAGGCTATGGCTACACTAAAAACCCAGACTTTGCCACTATACAATTTAACCACATGAGCCAAAAACCACTTGTACCTCTAAAGCTATTGAAATGAATTTTAAAAAATAAAACAGGAAGAAAAGAGAATAATTTTGAATGTGAAAGAATCTTGTGTGGTTAATTTTTTATCTTGAAGTAAAATAATGGGTTACTTAAGGAAGAGGAAGTATAGGACAGGCAGAAAGTCTAAGCGTTTCATAAATGGTCTGTGTACATTGTGATAAAGTTCATAAAAAGAGAATTTATGAGAAAAAAATTGCGTGTGTGATCAAGTTGACTAAAATTAAAAGTGAGTTATTTAAAATAGTCCTTCTAAAGCTTGAGCTTTGATATTAAAAATAGACTAATTACAATCTAAAAAATTTGGCCCCCTTTGTTAGAGGAAAGTGTTTTGTAAAGCATTGATTTGCTTTTAGCAAAAATGCAAGAGTAAAAATGATTTCTAATTCAAATTTGTTTCTCTAACACCTATGTTATATGCTACAGACAGTTTCTATTTGTGCCACATTTCTTCCTGAAATCTAATTAGGTTTCCTAGTTTTAAAAAGGAGAGTCTATAAAGTCCTACAATCAAAGCTAAACATAGCCCTTGATGTTTAGGTGCTCACTTGGGTCTCTTCCAAATGAATTTTCCTTTTCTTCCTAATCTAAATCCTTTTTAAATAAATATTCACTCCAGCCTGAAACTCACCTTGGTCTCTTCTTCTGACTTATAATCCTCAGTAGAATCCTTTCTTCTGAGGAGGCAAGAATTGAAGGTGCTGCAGTTGTGTACGAAAGCATCAGCAGTTACTCAGATACCTTCCAATGATAACATACCCAAGGTGGTTGGGTGCAGCTTGGTTTTATACATTTTAGAGAGGCAGGAGATTTCAATCAAATTCCTTCAAGAAATCATTTGTTTGGTCCAGAAAAGTGATATAACTTGAAGCAGGGGCTTCCAGCTTATAGGTAGATTTAAAGATTTTCAAAATGACGATTGGTTGAGTTTATTTAAAGACCTGGAATAAACAAAAAGGAATGTCTGCATTAACATAAAGAATTGTGAGACCAAAGTTCTTATTTGTAGAGGAAGCCTTCAGGTACTAGGCTTCAGAGAAGATAGGTTGTTGACGGCCTCTAAGCCGCCCTCTCAACCTCATCTGCTCCCGTGGGATGAGAGTTCCAGGTGTGAGACCTCTGCTTCACCTTGGACTTGACTTTGTCATGATTCTTGCCTTTCCCACACAGACGTGCTGAGAAGCAGGATCCCCTGGGAGGCGCAGAATGAAGGGAGGCAGTGAGATCAAGGGCCCGGCAATCTTCCGTTGACACCATGCTCGGGGCCTCAGCTATGAATCCATTACACAGAGACACTTCAAAAACTCACCAGACTGTATCCCGAGACCCATGAGACCCGATGCCTGCACACAGCCTTTTTCCCGAAAGGAATCAGAAGAGCAGTATCCAGCGCCCAACTCACAGTCCAAGCGCCTCCTCCTCCAGTGGGACCCGACCACGGAGTATGCCCGAGGAGGAGCTATGGTCGAGAGTATTAAGGTCCTCCAGTGCTTGTCTCAAGCAGTATTTTTCCTAAGACCAGGCCATCTCTGCCACCACCATTTTCTTCTGCTTAGGCAGGTTGACAGCCTTGACAGCCAGGCGCCCGAGCCTGCCTCGCGAATGCGCATGCGCCAGTCACAGGGCGTCAGGCGCAAGCAGAGAGCTACTGCTCGCTTCACAATGAAAGCCACTGTTGCCTGGCGACGGGTCCCTGCGGCTTGGCGGAGCAGGAGACCTCTGTGGAAGTGCATCGTGTTGCACTTTAGCCTGTTTTCTCTGGGGGATCCACGGGATAGTCCCACGATCCTAGGAATTGGCAGGGCCGAGCCAGCCTGAAGAAAGGTCAAGCGGAGACACAAGGATACGCTGCGAAATTTCTAAGGATCCAAAAGGATTCGCAGGATGCCTCAGGCCTGCCTAGATGGTGTAGGGGTGAGTCTCCTTGAAAGGTAACCCTCTATGATTTCTAGGTACAGCCCACCTGTGTTCCCCAGGGCTGCTCTCTCCCCAGAGGTCCTTTCTGGCAGACCAGAAACGCACAGCCTCAGAAGCAGTCGGGCTGTGTGTTTCTATGGGAGTGTTGCAAGTGTCGGATGTCTGGGTGTGTGTGTGTGGCTGAGTGTGTGTGTGTGTGGGTGTGTCTGTGTGTCTGTGAGTGCATGTAAATGGAGTCTGCTGAAAGGAATGTGGCTCATGCGCAGGAGTGTTTTTTCTTTTGAGTCAGCTGACCTTCTGCTGTGCCTCTCTTTGTGGCTCCACCTGGGCTGTGGAGCTGCTGTCCTTTGTTTTCCCTGTGGCTCCTGAATCCATGGTAAAGTTGGGGAGCTGGCTGAAACGTGCACGGGTCCAAATCACCTTCCCCTGCAAAGGAGCCACTTTTCTAGAAAGAAGGAGAGCATGCCACACTCATGAGCAGATACCTCTCGGGACCTCATTGTCCTGTGGGCAAACCAGGACCGACGCTAGCAGTCCTGTCCACAGGTACCCTTGAATCCACTTCAAATTAGGCTCCCAGCAGAGCAGGTGCCTCATGGTGTGAGGCAGGCACTCCTCCATCATCTTGGGATTTCATTCCGGATACAGAGTGTTAGCAGCAATAAGGTCAGAGATGGGGGAGAATAGAATCTGGTAAGGAGTGGATGGGGTTCCACAACTTCAGCTGCAGGAGAAGTGCAGAAAGGTGACAAGAAGGTGCTTCCAACTTTATTCCCGCATTTCTTTCATTGCACAAGTTTTCCACACCATGGTCTCCTGCCAAGGAAAAAGCACTCCAATGTGTGGGGATGCATTGGGGTGCAAACTGTGGATATTCTGGCCAGCTCCCACTTTGGGCTTTCATTCCCGGAGCCACATGGAAGTGGGAGGGATTGATGCTGCGTGGGCTAAGGTCCCCACCCATGGGCTTTTCTTTTCTTGACTGCCATGTTCTTCATGGGCCTAAGGTTTCCTAGGTCTGGCTCAGACTTCCACAGTAAACGTTTCCCAGTTCACAGAGGATGATCTTCAGGGGGATCCACTGCATGATTGTTTCTTTGCAAACACTGTCACATTTTAATGACTGGGCAGCTGTGATACATTTGGAACCATGGATTCCTGTTATATCCACCAAGAAGGGAACTCTTGTTCTCCCTCTTCTATCAGAGGGCTGCATGATTCCTTCAGGATGAGAAGCAGCCAGATGTGTCTGGCTTTTACTTGGTAATCTAGGCTATGTTTTCCTTCATCGGCACATCCTTTCTCATTGTGGAGGGGGTCTTTCTTTGGGCTCTTGCTGGGTGGGACTGCCTCTCACCATGGATCTTCTTGGCTGCCAGGGATTTCAGAGAGCAAAAGGTACTTCGAGTAGGCTGGCTGCAGGCCAGGTTGTGGGTAGTTGTCTTGTTGTGGGGGCTGAGGTGGTTTGCACTCTGCAGGAGGCTCTTGTGTCCTTTGGCATGAATCCCTGAACACGGCTTGGATTCCAGCACAGGCCTGTCATGAACCCAGGTGAGCCTTGATTTCTCTTTGCTTTCACAGTGCCCCTCCACAGTATTCCTGGACACCCTCTTCAGCTTGCAATTGCCCCAGATGGCCTCTAAGACACTCTCTCAACCTCATCTGCCCCAGTGAGAATCGAGTCCCAAGTGTGAGACCTCTGCTCCACCTTGGACTTGCCTTTGTCATGGTTCCTGCCTTTCCCAGATAGCTGTGTTGAGAAACAGGAGCCCCTGGGTGGCCCAGGATAAAGGGAGGCAGTGAGCTCAAGGGCCTGGTAATCTTCCGCTGACATGCACCTCTGGGATCTCAGGTATGATTCCAACTCCCGGAGACCCCTCAACAACTCACCAGGCTGTATCCCCATCCCCATGGGACCCGATTCCTGCACACAGACTCTTTCGAGAATGAAAACAGAAGAGAGTTTCCAACGCCCACTTCACAGTCTCGAAGCGACTTTTCCTCAAGGGGACCCGACCACGGAGTTCCACTCTAGCATCATAGTGCACTCGAAGAGGCACTATGATGGAGACATTTATGTTCCCGCATTTGGTGTTGCAAGCAGCTTTTTTTTTTTTTTGAGAGCAGGCCGACTCTGCCTCCACTATTTTCCTCTGCTTAGGCAGGCTGACAGCCCTGAAAGCCGGGTGCCCGAGCCTGCCTCACGAATGCGCATGCGCCAGTCTCTGGGCACAGGTGAGAGTGGTGAGCCCTGGCTTGCGACACAGTGAATGCCACCATTGCCTGGCAATGGGTCCCTGTGGCTTGGCAGAGCAGGAGACCTCTGTGGAGGTACATCAGCGTTGGGCTCTCGTCTGTCTTCTCTTGGTGATCCCCACAGGATAGTCCCACGATCCTAGGAGTGGACAGGGACATGCCAACCTGAAGAAACGTCAAGTGGAGCCCTAGGGATGCACCTCAAAATCCCTAAGGAACCAAACGGATCCACAGGATGCATCAGGCCTGCCTAGACGGTGTGGGGGTGAGCCTACTTGAAAGTTGCCTTCCTGTGATTTCTAGGTACAGCCCACATGTGTTCCCTGAGTCTGCTCTGTCCACGGAGGGGCTCCCTGGTGTAGCAGAACCGCGCAGCCTCAGAAGCTGCTGGGTTGCGTGCTTCTGTGGGAGTGTTGCTGTGTTGGCTGTCTGCGTACGTGTGGCCGTTTGTGTCTGTGTGTCTGTGTGCGCGTGTAGGTGGAGTCTGCTGAAAGAAATGTGGCTCACACACCGGAGTGCTTTTTCTTTTGAATCAGACGACCTTTTGTTGTGCCTCTCTGTGTCGCTCTGCTTGGGCTGCGGGGCTGCATGTCCTTTAACTTCCCTGTGGTTTCTGGATTTGCGGTGAAGTGGGGAGCTGGCTGAGACATGCAGGGGTCCAAATCGCCTCCACCTGCAAAGAAGCCCCTTCTCTAGAAGGAAGAGAAGCATGCCACACCCATGAACAGACACCTCCTAGGTCCTCATCCTGCGGGCAACCCAGGGCCAGACCCTAGCAGTCCTGTTTGCAGGGTCCCTTGAATTCACTCCGAATTTGGTTCTCAACAGACCAGGTGCCTCACATCGGGAGGCGGGCACTTCTCCGTCAGCTTGGGATTTCATTCCGGGACGGAGAGTGTGAGCAGCAATAAGATCAGAGCGGGTGAGGATATAATCTGGTGAGTTGTGGATGGAGTCCCGCAACTTCACCTGCTGGAGAGGTGCAGACAAATGACACAGAAGGTGCTTTCAACTTTATCCCTGCATTTCTATCATTGCACAAGCTTTCCACACCATGGCCCACTGCTGAGAAAAAGGGACTTTAACGTATGGGAAACCATTGGGGCCCAAACTGTGGCCATTCTGGCCAGCTCCCTCTTTGTGCTTTTATTCCCAGAGTCACATGGGAGTGGGATAGATTGATGCTAGGTGGGCTATGGCCTTCACTCTGGCTTTTTTTTTTTTTTTCCTGACTTCCAAGTTTCTCATGGCCTAGGGTTTCCTAGGTCTGGCTCACAGTCTTCCACAGTAAACGTTCCCCAGTTCACAGAGGATGACCCTCAGGGCGATCCATTGCATGAGTCTTTCTTTCTAAACAGTGTCATGTTTTAATGACTGGGCAGCTGTGATACTTTTGGAACCATAGATTCCTGTTATATCAGCCAAGAAGGAAATTCTTGTTTTCCCTCTTCTATCTGAGGGCTGCATGATTCCTGTAGGGTGAGAAGCAGACAGACGTGTCTGGCTTTGCCTTGTAATCTGTTTCATTTTATCTGCACATTTCTTCTTATTGTGGAGGGTTTGTTTCATTGGGTGGTTTCTGGGTGGGACTGCCTCTTACCACGGATTTTCTAGGCTGCCAGGGATTTCAGGGAGTAAAAGGGACTTCAGGTAGGCTGGCTGCAGGCTAGGTTCTGGGCAGTGGTCTCATTGTGGGGGCTGGGGAGCTTTGCACTTTTCAGGAGGCTCTTGTGTATTCTGGCAGGAATCCCTGAATATGGCTTGGACTCCAGTACAGGCCCTGTCCTGCTCCCGGGTGAGCTTTGACTTCCTGTTGCTTTCATTGGGGGGTACACAGTACCCCTCCACAGCACTCCTGGACACCCTTTTCAGGCTTTCAATAGCCCCATATGGTCTCTGAGACACTCAACCTCATCTGCCCCAGTGAGATTTCAGTTCCAGGTGTGAGACCCCTGCTCCACCTTGGACTTGCCTTTGTCATTGTTTCTCTCTTTCCCAGACAGCCATGCTGAGAAGCAGGAGCCCCTGGGAGACAAAGGATGAAGGGAGGTAGTGAGATCAATGGCCCAACAATCTTGGGCTGACACACACCTCTGGGGTCTCAGGTATGATTCCAAATCTCAGAGACCCCACCAGACTGTATCCCCATCCGCATGGGATACGATTCCTGCACACAGCCTCCTTCAGGAATGGAATCAAAAGAGCAGTTTCCAGTGCCCACCTCACAGTCTCCAAGCAACTATTCCTCTGGCGGGACCTGGTCAAGGAGTTAGCCCGAGGAGGCCCTATGGTCAAGACATTTAGGGTCCCACATTGGTTGTTGCAGGCAGCCTTTTTCTCAAGACCAGGCCAGTCTGCCTCCACTATTTTCCTCTGCTTAGGCAGCCTGACAGCCCTGAAAGACAAGAGCCCAAGCCTGTCTCACAAATGCACATGTGCCACTCTCTGGGCACCAGGGATGAGTGGTAAGCCAGGGCTCACCTCACAGTGAACACCACTGTTGCCTGGCAATGGGTCCCTGTGGCTTGGTGGAGCAGGAAACCTCTGTGGACATGCGACGGCATTGGACTCTCTCCTGTCTTCTCTAGGGAATCCACAGAATAGTCCCAGGATTCTAGGAGTGGGCAGGGCCGAGCCAGTCTGAAGACACATCAAAAGGAGCCACAGGGATGCACAGCAAAATCACTAAGGATCCAAAAGCATCCTCAGGATACATCAGGCCTGCCTAGACAGTGTGGGGGTATGTCTCATTAAAAGGTACCCCCCTGTGATTTATAAGTCCTGTCTGCAGGGCCCCTTGAAAATACTTAAAATACTTCAAATTTGGTTTGCAGCAGAGCAGGTACCTCACGTCAGGAGGCAGGCAGTGCTCCATCATCTTGGGATTTCATTCCAGGATTGAGAGTGTGAGCAGGAATAATGTCAGAGAGGGGTGAGGATACAAATAAAATCTGGTAAGGAGTGGATGAAGTTTCATCACTTCACCTGCAGGAGATGTGCAGACAGATGACGAGAAGTTTGTTCCAATGTTATCCCCGCATTTTCTTCATTGCACAAGTTTTCCACACCATGGCCTGCTGCCGAGGAAAAAGGACTACAATATGAGGGGTACCACTGGAGTGCAAACTGTGGCCATTCTGGCCAGCTCCTACTTTGGGCTTTTATTCCTGGAGCCACACAGGAGTGAGATGGTTTGATGCTCGGTGGGCTGTGGCCTCCACTGTGGGCTTTTCTTTTCCTGACTGCCATGTTCCTCTTGGGCCTAAGATTTCCTCAGTTTGGCTCAAAGTCTTCCGTAGTAAATCTTTCCCAGTTCACAGAGGACAATCCTTAGGGGGATCCATTGCATGAGTGTTTCTTTGTAAACACTGTCATGTGTTAATAACTGGGCAGCTGTGATACTTTTGGAACCATGAATTTCCATTATATCCACTAAGAAGGGAACTCTTGTTCTCCCTCTTCTATCGGAGAGCTGCATGATTCCTGTAGGATGAGAAGCAGTCAGATGTGTCTGGCTTTTGCCTGGTGATCTAGGATCTGTTTCCTTTCATCTGCACATCCATTATCATTGTGGAGGGGGCCTTTCATTGGGCTGTTGATAGCTGGGACTGCCTCTCCCCACAGATCTTCTTGGCTGCCAGGGATTTCAGAGAGCAAAAGGGACTTCGGGTAGGCTGGCTGCAGGCAAGGTTGTGGGTAGTTGTTTTGTTGTGGGGGCTAGGGTGCTTTGTACTTTGCAGGAGGCTCTTGTATTCTCTGGCAGGAATCCCTGAATATGGCTTGGACTCCAGCACAGGCCCTCTTGTGCTCCCAGGTGAGGCTTGATTTCCCTTTGCTTTCATAGAAGGTCCTTAGTGCCCCTCCACAGCACTCCTACACAACCTTTTCAGGCTTGCAATCACCCCAGACCCTCTAAGATACTCTCTCAACCTCATCTGCCCCAGTGAGAATCCAGTTCCAAGTGTGAGACCTCTGCTCCACCTTGGACTTGCCTTTGTCGTGGTTTCCACCTTTTCAAGACAGCCGTGCTGAGAAGCAGGAGCTTCTGGGAGGCCCAGAATGAAGGGAGGCAGTGAGCTCAAGGACCCAGCAATCTTCTGTTGCTACACTCCTCTGGGGGTCAGGTATGATTGCAACTCCCAGAGACCCCTCAACAACTCACCAGACTGCATCCCCATCCCCATGGGACACGATTCCTGCACACAGCCTCTTTCGGGAATGGAATCAGAACAGCAGTTTCCAGTGCTCATCTCATAGTCTTGAGGAGGCTCCTCCTCCCGCGGGACCCAACCGCAGAGTTGGCCCAAGGAGGACCTATAGCCTAGACATTTAGGGCCCTGAATTGGTTGTCACAGGCAGCCTTTTTCCCGAGACCAGGCCGGCTCTGCCTCCACCATTTTTATCTGCTTAGGAAGGCTGACAGCCCTGACAGCCAGGCGCCAGAGCCTGCCTCTCAAATGCCTACGTACCAGTCTCTGGGCACCAGGCACGAGCAGTGAGCCATGGCTTGCATCACAGTGAACGCCACCTTTGCCTGGTGATGGGTCCCTGTGGCTTGGCGGAACAGGAGACCTCTGTGGACATGTATCAGCATTGGACTCTCGCCTGTTCTCCCCAGTGGATTCACGGGATAGTCCCAGGATCCTAAGAGTGGGCAGGACCAAGCCAGCCTGAAGAAAAGTCAATTGGAGCCCCAGGGATGAACTGCGAAATCCGTAAAGATCCAAAGGGATCTGTAGGATGCATCAGTCCTCCCTAGACGGTGTGGGGGTGAGTCTCCTTGAAAGGTGCCCCCCTGTGATTTCTAGGTCCAGCCTGCTTGTGTTTCCCATGGCTGCTTTCTCTCCGGAAAGGCTTCCTGGCAGGGCAAAGCCATGCAGCCTCAGAAGCTGCTGGGCTGTGTGTTTCTGTGGGAGTGTTGCGAGTGTTAGATATCTGGGTTTGTGTGTGTGGCTGTGTGTGTGTGTTTGTTGTGTCTGTGTGTCTGTGTTTGCGTGCAAGTGGAGTCTGCTGAAAGGAATGTGGCTCATGCACAGGAGGGCTTTTTCCTTCTAGTCAGCTGACCTTTTTTGCACCTATGTGTGGCTCCACTTGGGCTGCAGGGCTGCGTGTCCTTTTGTTTTCTCCGTGGTTCCTGAATCTGCAGTGAAGTAGGGTGGCTGACTGAGACAGGCAGCAGTCCAAATCACCTCCCCCTGCAAAGAAGCAACTTTTCTGGAAAGATGAGGAGCACACCACACCCAGGAAGAGAAATCTCCCATTGCCTCATTGTCCTGTGGCAACTCAGGGCTGGACCATAACAGTCCTGTCCGTAGGGCCTTTTGAATCCACTTGAATTTGATTCCCAGCAGAGCAGATGCCTCACAGCGTGAGGCGGGCATGCTTCCATCGTCTTGGCATTTCATTTTGGGGCAGAGAGTGTGAGCAGCAACAAGATCAGAGAGGGCTGAGGATACAGTCTTGTGAGGTGTGGATGCAGTCCTGCAACTTCACCTTCAGGAGAAGTGCATACAGATCATGCAGAAGGTACCTCCAAGTTTATCTCCACTTTTCTTTCATTGCACAAGCTTTCCACACCATATCCCGCTGCCAAGGAAAAAGAACTCCAATGTGCAAGGAACCGCTGGGGCACAAACTGTGGCCATTCTGGCCAGCTCCCGGTTTGGGCTTTCTTCCCCAGAACCACATGGGTGTGGGATGGATTGTTGTTGGGTAGGCTGTGGCCTCCACTCTGGCCTTTTATTTTCCTGACTTCCATGTTCCTTGTTGGTTTTGGGTTTCCTGGGCCTGGTTCAAAGACTTACACAGTAAACATCTCCTACATCATGGAAGATGACCGTCATGGGGATTCACTGCATGAGTGTTTCTTTCTAAACACTGTCATGTTTTAATGACTGGGCAACTGTGATACTTTTGGAACCATGGATTCCTGTTATATCCGCCAAGAAGCAAACTCTTGTTCTCCCTCTTCTGTCAGAAGGCTGCATGATTCCTGGAGAATGAGGAGCAGCCAGACATGTCTGGTTTTTGCCTGGTAATCTAGGCTCTGTTTCCTTTCATGTGCATGTCCTTTCTCATTGAGAAGGGAGTCTTATTTGGGCTGTTGCTGGGTCGGACTGCCTCTTGCCACGGGCCTTCTTGGCTGCCAGGGATTTTAGGGAGCAAAAGAGACTTTGGGTAGGCTGGCTACAGGCCAGGTTGTGGGTAGTGATCTCATTGTGGGGGCTGCGCTGGTTTGCATTTTTCAGGAGGCTCTTGTGTCCTCTGGCAAGAATCCCTGAACATGGCTTGGACTCCAGTGTGGGCCCTCTAGTGCTCCCAGGTGAGGCTTGATTTCCCTTTGCTTTCATGTGAAGTTCTTAGTGCGCCTCCACAACACTCCTGGACACCTTTTTAGGCTTGCAATCCCCCCAGATGGACACTGAGACACTCTCAACCTCACATGCCCCTGTGAGAATCCAGATCCAGGTGTGAGTCCTCTGCTGTGCCTTGGACTTGCCTTTGGGGTGTTTCCTGCTTTTCCCAGACAGCCATACTGAGAAGGAGCAGCAGGAATATACTGATAAATACTCAACATATAAAGTTGGTGAGTTGCAATTATGTCTGTGATATTTCCAATAACCATGGTGAAAGGAAGACACTGTATTTTAAATGTAGACAAACTGATTTCTCTGGAGTCGGAAAAACTGAAAGACTTCTTGGATAACATCATTTTTGCTCACAACATAATGACATATAGTAAACAAACTTCCATGAATAGCCCTACATTAATTGTGGCATATTGCCTTAAAATGTTTCTCAGTCAGAGTAGAGGAGTTCAGGACCTGGTTTAAATAGTCAATTATCTGATGGCATCAACCTTTGTTTTGATCCAGTCAGTTGGAAACACTATTTCTGTAGGATCTATGATGGGACACTTCAGATCCCATTGAGGACTGTAGTGAAAAAACTAATATCCCATGATAAAAACTAGAAACAAGCTACCTGTGAAAGTGCTTTGCAATGTGTGGATTCATCTGACAGAGTTAAAACTTTGTTTTGATTGAGCTAGTTAGAAATACTCTTTTTGTAGAATCTATGAAGGGATATTTCAAAGACCATTGAGGCCTATAGTGAAAAAGCAACTATCCCACGATAAAAACTAGAAACAAGCTATCTGTAAAAACACCTTGCGATGTGTGGATTCAGTTCACAGAGCTAAACCTTTTTTTTGGTTCAGCCAGTTGGAAACACATTTTTGTAGAATCTATGAAGGATTATTTCAGAATCCATTGAACTCTATAGTGAAAAACCAAATATCCTGGGATAAAAACTAGAAAGAAGATCTTTGTGATGCATGGATTCATTTCTCAGAGTTAAACCTTTGTTTTTATTCAGCCTGTTGGAAACATCCTTTTTATTGAATCTAAGAAAGAACATTTCAAAGCCCATTGATGCCAGTAGTGAAAAATTGAATATCCCACAATAAAAAATTGAAACAAGATATCTGTAAAAATGCATTGAAATGTGTATTTGTCTCACAGAATTAAATCTTCCTTTGATTCAGCTGGTTCGAAACACTCTATTTGTAGAATCCATGAAAAGACATTTCAGAGCTCATTGAGGCCTATAGAGAAAAACTGAATATTCCATGATAAAAGTAGAAACAAGCTATCAGTGAAAATGTTTTGTGATGTGTGAATTCATCTCAAAGAGTTAAACCTTCCTTTTAATTCAGCAGGTTGGGAACACTTCTTTCATAAAAACTATGAAGTGACATTTCAAAGTCCTTTGAGGCCTGTAGTGAAAAACAGAATATCCCACAATAGAAACTAGAAAAAAAGCTATCTGTGATAGGGTTTTGTGATGTGCAAATTCATCTCACAGAGGTAAACATTTCTTTTGATTCAACAGGTTGGAAGAACTCTATTTGTATAATCTACGAAGGGACATTTCAGAGCCCTTTGAGGCTTATAGTGAAAAACCGAATATCCCACAATATAAACTAGAAAAAAACTATCTGTGAAAATGCATTGCAATGTGAGGATTCATCTCACAGAGTTACATGTTTCATTTGATTCTGCTGGTTGGAAACACTTTTTCTTGTAATCTCTATGAAGGAACATTTCTGAGCTTATTGAGACCTATAGTCAATTGTGAAAAACCATATATATAGTGAAAAACCATATATCCTGCCATAAAAACTAGAAACAAGCTATCTGGGAAAAGGCTTTGCAATGTGTGGATTCATCTCAAAGAGTTAAACTTTTGTGTATATTTAGACAGTTGGAACCACTCTTTTTGTACAATCTTCAAAGGGATCGAAGGGACATTTTGGACCCATTGAGGCCTATAGAAATAAACCAAATATCATGCAATAAAAACTAGAAAGAAGATATCTGTGAAAACACTTTGCAATGTGTGGATTCATGTGACACACATAAACCTTT